>NC_000006.12:45211515-45514545 GCF_000001405.40 Homo sapiens
CTTCGGTATTTGTCCAATAACATGGTCTCTAGGCCAATTAAAAGAGAATTCTGGGCCAGGCGTGGTGGCTCGCACCTGTAATCCCAGCACTTTGGGAGACCGAGGCAGACAGATCACAAGGTAAAGAGATCGAGACCATCCTGGCCAACATGGTGAAACTCTGTCCCTACTAAAAATATAAAAATTAGGGGGGCGTGGTGGCATGTGCCTGTAATCCCAGCTACACGGGAGGCTGAAGCAGGAGAATCACTTGAATCCCGGAGGCGGACGTTGCAGTAAACTGAGATAGCACCACTGCACTCCAGCCTGGCGACACAGCAAGACTCCGTCTCAACTAAAAAAAAAAAAAGAGAGAGAGAATTCTTCAGCCAGGCACAGTGGCTCACATGTGTAATCCTAGCACTTTGGGAGGCTGAGGTGGGCGAATCACAGGAGGCCAGGAGTTCAAGACCAGCCTGACCAAGATAGCAAAACCCCATCTCTACTAAAAATGGAAAAAGTTTAGCCAGGTGTGGCAGTGCATGCCTGTATTACCAGCTACTCTGGATGCTGAGATGAGAGAATTCCTTGAACCCGGGAGGCAGAGGCTGAAGTGAGCCAAGATTGCACCACTGCACTCCAGCCACAGAGCAAGACTCTGTCTCAAAAAGAAAAAAGAAAAAGAAAAAGGAAATTTTTCTAGCAGCAAGATCAAATATACACACTTTTCTTATGCTGAATCAATTGCTTAAAAATCATGCTTCATTTTACTATACTTGGTTGTTCTTCCCCGAACTTTTAATATAACTTTTAGGGTTGGAATTTTACTTCTTTTCATTCTTCTTGTTTAAAATGAAAAATGTATCTCAATGAGTTTAAGCATTCCACTCACTTCATCATGGCTTTATTAAAAGGAGTTTCCTTTTCTTCCTGGAAAATGCTCTCTTCCTCAGCCGTAGGTTCTGAAACTTCCCTCCACCTCCACTATGTGTGTGTGTGTGTGTGTGTGTGTGTGTGTGTGTGTGTGTGTGTGTGTGTGTGTGTGTGTGTGTGTATTGACTCTACTACTCACTAGGTCCTATGACTTTGTTTTTCTTGATTTTCTTCCTTATTTATTGGAGAAAGTCTTCAAGAAACTTCCAAAGGGTATATAGAATGTAGTACTAATCACTTGAATACCTAAAAATAATCTTTTTCTGTCTTCAGGGCTGACAATTTGCTTAGGTATCGAATTCTACATACAAATAACCTTCCCTCACAGTTCTTAGGACATCATTCATTGTCTTTTAGGATCTACTCTTGATACCTGATTAAATACCATTCTTGTTTACCTTAAATATCCTTCTGTTTACAGGTGATGTCCTTCCCCCACCATGGATGGATGCATTTACATGATCAAAAATTATACAAGGTTGTTTCCAGGTAAGGCAAGTTTATTTTCCAAGGATGACAAAACCCAAATACCAAAACATGCCACAATCAGCACAAGAAAGGAAGCCGATTTTGAATGTAAACGCAAAAATATACTGGTTTAGCCAAACAAATGACACCAAGCTCCCACCAATATTCTAAAATATGAGAGTCAAAAAGACAAAACAACTGTGTTTGCCACACAATTCAATTAGCATATATCCTGAAGAGTGACATGAGTCTAAGTTCCCTCATGATTCATTTAGCTTGAGCTTCTCACCACAGGAAGTGCGCCTGGAAGAGTTTGAGTATGCATTGTTCAAGCAACAGGACCCCTAAAGGCAAGCATTCTGGTGATGAACTGAATATAAAGAAAACTGAATAAAACATATAACAAACATGTATTTTTTAATAAGTTAATGTCTTTAGCATATAACAAGCCATGTAAATTTAATATGAAAAAAAGAATGCTCCAAAAGAAAAATGAACTGTTTTATAATTCACAGAAGAACAAACATAAATGGCCAAAACTTTTTTTTAAATATTTAACATCACTGAGGGAATATAAATTAAATAACCTATTATTCTTCATTGGCAAAGATAAAACAGATAAATACTGTGTTGTAATATGTTGGAGAAACAAATATTTATAGCCACTGTAAATAAGAGAATGAACAAAACATTCATAAATCAATTAGGTAATATTAATCATAAGTGACCAATTCTGCTGAAACAGTAAGCAAACTTTTAAGGATTATATCCTACGATAATTAATCAATCAAATTATTAAGAACAAGGAAGCCCATTAAATGTTCGTTATTTATTAAAAGCTAGAAAAAAATCTAAATTTTTATAAGTTTTTAGTCCAAGTCACACAAAAATTATTCCAAATTTTGAATTAAGACAGCAGTCTTTATTACCAAATCTCTATCATTTTAAACAGAAGATAAAAATTCTCGTCTGGGAATCAATTTGAAAGTTGGTACTAAAAAGGGCTTATTTCAAATTTCTAAAATACATTAAAATTTACATAATTTACTATTTAAATGTAATCAGCCATGTCCATAATCATGTTAATAACACTCGAAAGCCTTTTGAGATTTTGAAATGCAAAAAAAAAAAAAAAAAAAACAAGTCAATAGACTAAAAGCAATTAACTCCAGGAAGAGATTTTAAACAATAAACCAATGTATAAATGAGCAAACACAGCTCACAGCTACAGTATCAAACGATTCAGTGACCACCCAAGTACATAACAGCTCAGAAGGAAAAAATCAGTTTTCTACAACACCTTATGAAAAAAATTTAAATAAGTGACCACACACATTCTCAATCCATGCTGAGAAAAGTGAAAATAACAGAGAAAAAAATAATCTAAAAATGAAGAAAAAGCAAAAATTGCCAAATGGGAATGTAATGTGATTGACAGTATTCAGAAAACTAATGATAGTAAAAGCTGGGGCAAGAAAATCAGGATTACTTGGAGAAAGGAAATCAGCATTAAAGAAAAGAATTACATACAAAAAAAAATGAAAAAATACAGAAAGGAAAGAAATACAGAAACTTGTATCTAATAATTAAACTCTTCATGTAAAACACTGAAAATAAATATTTAAAGATGGATCATAAAGTACAGACAATTTTGAAATAAAGACTGAAAAGCCAGGTGTGGTGGCACACATCTGTAATCCCAGCTGCTCAGAAGGCTGATGCAGGAGGATCACTTGAGGCCAAGAGTTGAAGACCAGCCTGAGCAATACAGTGAGCTCCCATCTCTAAAATAATTTATTTCATGTTAGCTGAGTGTGTTGGCACATGCTTGTAGTCCCATTTACTCGGGAGGGTAAGGGAGGAAGATCACTTGAGCCAAGGAGTTTGAGGCTGCAGTGAGCTATCATCATGGCAGTGCACTCCAAAATAGGTAACAGAGACTTCATTAATACTGGAGCCAAGACCTGCTGCTTGTAACCCCCTCACGACCGAGAGTCGGCACTCCATGCCCCTTCCTAGTGATACTACCTCTGCAACCAGCAGAGCCGCTGTGCCCAGTGTATTCCATCCCAGACCTGAGAATCAACCTACCCCGTGGCTCCTACTCCCAGGAAAGCTGCACGACAGCAACAACAAATACCCACAGCCTGGGCCACAAAGCCAATCACAGACACCACTGATATCAAATAGAGCTGAAGAAATCACTGGAAATTCATACTACCACTACTGCACTAACTCAGAACCAAAAATCAAAGCCTACTCAACCAACATGATAGGACACAACTAGCAGGAAAAATGTTATCCCTAATTAACAAAATTAACATAAAATCTGAAGAGCTGATTGTCCCACTAGATTTACAGAAACCAAGGTAAAGACACAAGAAACATGAAAAAGCCAGAAAATATGAAACTGCCAAAGGAAGACAATAATCCTCAGTGACAGACCCTAATGAAAAAGATAACTATGATATGCCTGAAAAAGAATTCAAAATAATGATCCTTACAAAACTCAATGAGATACAAGGGAATACACAGACAATTCAACCCAATCAAGAAAACAGTATGTGATCTACAAGAAAAATTATATGAAGTGATAAATATCGGGGAAAAAAATCTTGGAGTTAAAGAATTCAATGAATGAAATTTTTAAAAATGTAGTACAATTGAGAGCACTAACAATAAACTAGATGAAGCAGAAGAAAAAAAATCTACATTAGAAGGCAGATCTTCTGAATTAATCTAGTCAGACAAAAAAGAAAGGAAAAAAAGAATGAAGAAAGCCTACAGAAATTATGGGAAATTATTAAGCAAACCACAGCCACATTACAGAAGTCCCAAAAGGAGAAGATACAGGAAAGGGCACAGAAAACATGTTTAATGAAATAATAGCTGAGAAGTCTGGGGAAAGATATGGACATCCAGATTCATAAAGCTTAAAGGCCAAATAGACTGAACCCAAAAATATCTTCTCTGAAGCAGAATATAGTCAAACTGTCAAAAGTCAAAGCCAGAATTCTAAAAACAAGCAAGACAAGTGTCAAGTCACATATAAGGGAATCCCCACTAGACTAACAGGATTTCTCAGGAGAAATCATGCAGTCCAGAGAGACTAAGATGATACATTGAAAGCGATGAAAAGTGTGGGGGGATGGGGGTAATGGTAGCCAAGAATATCATACACAGCAAGGCTATCCTTCAGAGATGAAAGAGAAATATACACATTCCCAGACTAGAAAACTGAGGAAATTCATCATGACTAGACCGAACTTACAAGAAATGCTTAAGGAAGTAAAAGGATGGTAACTACCATCTGGAAGTAAAAGGATGGTAACTACCATCTGGAAGTAAAAGGATGGTAACTACCATCATGAAAACACACAAAGTATAAAACTCACTGATACAGCAGATACCTATGAGAAAGTGAAAGAAATCAAAGCTTATCACTGCAAAAAGAAACCCACGAAACTGTAAAAAAAATTAATAAAGGAACGAAGTATATATAAAACAACCAGAAAACAATTAACAAAATGATAAGAGTAAGCCCTTACTTGTAAATAATAACTTTAAATAGAAAGTTTTAATTCACCAATTAAAAGATAGGCTGGATAAATAAACTGAATAAATTATTTTGAAAAAGATGCAAACACACTACCTACAAGAAGCTCACTTCAGCTGTAAAGACACACATAGACTGAAAGTGAAAAGATGCCAAAGGTATGCCATGCAAATGGAAATTCAAAATGAGCAGCAGTAGCTATATTTATATCAGCTAAGACAAGCTTTAAGTCAAAATAGTAAAAAGAGACAATGAAGGTCATTACGTAATGATAAATGGATCAAAACTGCAAGAGGATATAACAGTTGTAAATATATTTGTACCTAACACAGGAACACCTGATATATATTTTAAAATTATTATACCTAACGAGAGAAACAGACTCCAATACATGTATGAGCCTGGAGGATATTATGTTAAGGGAAATAAGATAGGCAAAGAAAAATAAGTACCACATGTTCTCACTCACATGTGGAAGCTAAAAAATTTGATCTCACAGAAGTAGGGCATAGAATAGTAGTTATTAGAGACTAGGGAGGGCAGAGAGATTACAAGGTAGGACAACTTTGGTTAAAGGATATAAAACTATTCTAATTTGATCATTACACATTGTATTTAAATATTGCTCAATGCCCCATAGATACAATTATTATGTGTTAATGAAAAATAAAATAAAAAGCCAAAATGTAAAGAGACCTAAATAAAAATAAAGTTTCTACATTTCCTTAGAAAAATAAAATGATGGCCAGGCATGGTGGCTCATGCCTGTAATCCCAGCACTTTGGGAGGCCGAGGCAGGTGAATCACAAGGTCAGGAGTCCAAGACCAACCTGACCAACATGATGAAACCCCATCTCTACTAAAACTACAAAAGTTAGCCAGGTGTAGCGGTGCGCGTCTGTAATCCCAGCTACTCAGGAGGCTGAGGCAAGACAATCACTTGAACCCAGGAGGCGGAGGCTGCAGTGAGCCGACATCACGCAACTGCACTCCAGCCTGGGCGACAGAGCAAGATTCCGCCTCAAAAATAAAATAAAATAAAATAAAATATAAAATGATGACATCAGTAGACTAGAATAAGTCACATGTATGTATACCCTAAGCAACTACTAGGAAAATTATACAAAATATAGTCAAAAATACTATATATTTTAATCTGGCCGAATGTGGTGGCTCACGCTGTAATTCCAACACTTTGGGAGGCCAAGGCAGGTGGATCACTTGAGGTCAGGAGTTCAAGACCAGTCTGATCGACATGGCAAAATCCAGTCTCTACAAAAATACAAAAATTAGCCAGGCGTGGTGACGTGTGCCTGTAGTCCTAGCTACTAGGGAGGCTGAGACAGGAGAACTGCTTATATCTGGGAGGCAGAGGCTGCAGTAGGCCGAGATCACACTGCTGCACTCCAGCCTGAGTGACAGAGCAAGACTCTGTCTCAAAAGAAAAAGAAAACAAAACAAAAAAACATATATATGAAGCAAGGTGGAATCTGAAAAAATGTTCTAGTATACACAGGAAGGCAAAAAGAAAGAATGAGAGAAATGAGAAATAGAGGAAAATAAACAGAAAACAATAAATAAAATGGAAGAAAAGCTGTAACATATTCATAATTAAATGAAAATTGTTGAAATATACCATTTAAAGGGGCAAAGTTGGGCAGAGTACATAAAAACACGTGAAGGTAATCCTTTGAAAGCAAAAGAGTGAAAAATATATAACATGGAATATTAATAGAAAGCAGAAGGAGCTGTATTAATATCAGATAAGGTGAATTTCAGAGCAAAGAAAATTACTAAACATGAGAAAAGATATTATATAATGATCAAAGGAGCAATCTACTAGGAAGACATAGGAATCCTGTAAATACAAACAACCAAAAACAGAGTCTCGAATACATAAAGCAAAACTGATAGAGCTGGAAAAAAAATTGATATATCCACAACTATACATGGGGATTTCAAAAGCCCTATCTCAACAATTGATGAAAGTACTAGTGGCCGGGTACGGTGGCTCACGCCTGTAATCCCAACACTTTGGGAGGCCGAGGCAGGTGGATCACCTGAAGTCGGGAGTTCGAGACCAGCCTGACCAACATGGAGAAACCCCACCTCTACTAAAAAAATATTTAAAAATTAGCTGGGCATGATGGCGCATGCCTGTAATCCCATCTACTTGGGAAGCTGAGGCAGGAGAATCACTTGAACCTGGGAGGCGGAGGTTGCGGTGAGCTGAGATCACGCCATTGCATTCCAGCCTGGACAACAGGAGCAAAACTCCGTCTCAAAAAAAGTACTAGTGAGAAAATCATCAAGAATATAGAAAATCTGAACAACACACTCAACAAAATCAAATTAAAACATACAAATACTACACCAGAAAAAAGTACCCATTGAATATTCACTAAGATAGACCACGTCCTGAGCCATGAAACAAATCTCAACATATTTCAAAGAGTTAAATCAATATAGAACATGTTATCTAACCATAATTGAATCAAACTATTAATCAATAACAGAAAGATAATGAGAAAATCTCTAAGCACACTTCTAAATAATCCATGGGTCAAAGAAGTTACAAAGAAAGTCTAAAACTCATAAAACTGAATGAAAATAAAAAGACAACACACCAAAATATGTTTGATGCAGCTAAAATCAAGAGGAAAAAGAAACTCATATCACTACATGCTTACATTAGAAAAAAAAGTCTTAAATAAATGATCTAAGTTCTTATCTCAAGAAAGTAGAAAAAAAGCAAATAAACCTAAGCAGGTAGATGGAAGGAAATCATAAAGATAAGACACAGAATTTAAAGTAGGAAAATAGTAGAGAAAATCCATAAAAGAACTGGTTCTTTGAAAACAGATGAATAAAATAGATAAACCTACAGGAAGAATAACAAAAATAGAGAAAAGACACAAATCACAAACGCCAGGAATGAAAAACTAACAAAAATAGAGAAAAGACACAAATCACAAACACCAGGAATGAAAAAAACGACATTACCACAAATCCTGCATCTACTAAAAGATTAAAAAGGGAATACTACAAACAACTTTAGACTTACGAATCTGACAAGTTAGAAGAAACAAGCCAATTCCTTGAAAACCACACAGTACCAAAATACAACCAGTGTGAAATGGATAATATGAACTGTCCTATAACAATGTTAAAAATTGAATTCATAATTTTATAGCTCCCCCCAATTCCAAAACAATTATCTAGGCCTAATTGGTTTAAGTGGAGAATTCAAAATTCTCTAGGCCTAACTGGTTGGGTGGAGAATTCAAGTAAACTTTTAAAAAAGAATTGCCAGGCGCAGCAGCTCACGCCTGTAATCCCAGCACTTTGGGAGGCCGAGGTGGGTGGATCACGAGGTCAGGAGTTTGAGACAAGCCTGGCCAACATAGTGAAACCCTGTCTCCATTAAAAATAAAAAAATTAGCTGGGTGTGGTGGCACGTGCCCGTAGTCCCAGCTATTTGGGAGGCTGACGCAGGAGAATCGCTTGAACCTGGGAGGCAGAGGTTTCAGTGAGCCGAGACCATGCCATTGCACTCCAGCCTGGGTGACCGAGAGAGAGACTCTGTCTCAAAAAAAAAAAAAAAAAAAAAAAAAAGAATTACACCCATTTTCACAATCTATTAAAAAAAAGATGAGAAAATGCTTCCCATTTTATCAGGCAAATATAAACTGAAACTAAAACCAGACAGAAAAAGATTATTGCAGACCATCTTCTCTCACAAATACAGACATAAAATACCTACACAAAAATTAGCATATCAAATTCAACCATATATAAAAATAATTACATATCCTAAAAAAGTGGGAGTTATTCCACATGTGCAACACGGTTCAACATTCAAAAATAAAGCAATGCAAACAATCACATCAACAAGCTAAAGAAGAAAAATAGTATGAACATATCAATTGAGGCAGAAAAAAAAATCTGACAAAATCCAACATTATTTCATCAAGGGAAACTTTCCCAACAACCAAAAAATGACAGCTAAAATTATTCATAATGATAGAAGACTAAATGCTTTACCTCTAAAATTAGTAACAAGGCAAAGATATCCACTCTCCCCACTCTTTCTCAACATACTACTTACTGGAAGTTCTAGCTAGTACACCACCATAAGAAAAAGAAATAAAAAGCACACATATTGGAAACAAACAAAATATAACTGTTCCTACTTGCTAATGACATTACTGTCTGCATAGAAAATCACAAAGAATCTACAAAAGCCTCCTGGAAAAAAATAACAGAGTGAACCCTAGAAGAAAACCTAGGCCATACCATTCAGGACACAGGCATGGGCAAGACACTGTTGGTGGGAGTTCAACCATTGTGGAAGATAGTGTGGCGATTCCTCAAGGATCTAGAACTGGAAATACCATTTGACCCAGCAATCCCATTACTGGGTATATACCCAAAGGATTATAAATCATGCTACTATAAAGACACATGCACACGTATGTTTACTGCAGCACTATTCACAATAGCAAAGACTTGGAATCAACCCAAATGTCCATCAATGATAGACTGGATTAAGAAAATATGGCACAAATACACCATAGAATACTATGCAGCCATAAAAAATGATGAGTTCATGTCCTTTGTAGGGACATGGATAAAGCTGGAAACTATTATTCTGAGCAAACTATCACAAGGACAGAAAACCAAACACTGCATGTTCTCACTCATAGGTGGGAACTGAACAATGAGAACACTTGGACACAGGGTGGGAAACATCATACACCAGGGCCTGTCATGGGGTGGGGGCATGCGGGAGGGATAGCATTAGGAGAAATCTAATGTAAATGACGAGTTAATGGGTGCAGCAAACCAACATGGCACTTGTATATATATGTAACACACCTGCACGTTGTGCACATGTACCCTAGAACTTAAAGTATAATATAAAATATAATAATAAGAGTGAAATAGTTACAGGATACAAGATTGACACACAAAAATCAAGCTGTTTATAAATGCTAACAATTAACATGTGAAAACAGAAATTAAAATACTCCAAAGAAATTATAATTACTCCTAAGACAATTACTTAACAAAACATAAACAAGAGTTATATACTCAAAAGTATAAAATGTTGATGAAAGAAATCAGACAACCTAAATAAATGGAGACACAGTTTATGTTCATAGATTAGAAGACTCAACATACTGAAGATATTAATTTTCCCTAAATTGATATATAAGTTTAATTTAATTCCTATTATAATCCCATCAAGGTTTTTTCTTTTTGTAGACATAGGGAAGCTTATTCTAATTTGTAGTGCTTTTCTCACTTCATGGTCACAATAATTTAAGAAAATAATAATTTGTAGAACAGCTACTTCTAGAACAGCTAAAACAATCTTATAAAAGAAGAACAAATGAAAGGACTCACTCTACTTAATATTAAAGTCTACATATAACTACAACAATAAATACAGTGTGGTACTGTAGATGGACAAAAACATAGATCAATAGAACAGAATACAGAACGCAGAAATGGACCAAGCAAATAATGGCTCACAGATTTTTTAGAAGCTTAAAAGTATAATTCAATATAGGAAATATAACCTTTTCAACAAATAGTGATGGAGCATTTGGACATTCATAGGCAAAAAAATAAACTTCCACTTAAACCTCACAGCATATATAAAAACTAAAAAATGTATCACAGGTCTAAATATAAAACATAAAACTTAAAAAAAAAGTAGAAGAAAATCTTTAGAATCTAAGGCTAGGATTGACATCAAAAGCAAGATCCCTAACATTAGATACATTGCACCTCATCAAAATTAAAAACTTTTGCTATGCAAAAGAGCCTGTTAAGAGGATGAACAGATAAACTACAAACCGTAAGGAAAACACTCAACGCTTGACAGTAAAACTACAAACAATCCAATTAGAAAATGACAGAAGGCAGGAATGGACATTTCATGGAAGATGACATACAGATGGCAAATAAGCACACAAAATGGTGTTCAACATATTAGCCAACAAGGAAATGCAAATGTAAACCACAGGAGATTATCACTACAGGACCATCAGAATGGCTAAAATTTAAAAACAGTGACAACAACAAAGACTGATAAGAATATGGAGAAAGTGAATCATTCATACATTTCTGATGACAATGTAAAATTGTACAGATACTCTGGAAAACAGTTTATCAGTTTCTTTAAAAAATTAAACACACAATTACCATAATGACACAGCAATTATGCTCTTGGGCATTTATTCCAGAGAAATGAAAACATGTGTTCACGCAAAATTCTGTATATAAATGTTCACAGAAGCTTTATTTTTAATAGCCCAAAACTGGAGACAACTCAGATGTCCTTCAATGGGTGACTATTAAAGAAACTGGTACATCCACACCATGGAATACTCTTATCAATAAAGAGCTAATAACTACTAATGAATGCAACAACATGGATGAATCTTCATGGAATTATGTTTGAGTAAAAAAGATCAATACCAAATATTACATATTGTAATCCATCCATTTAACATTCTTAAAATGTCAAAACAATAGAAAGAAAGAACAAATCAGTGTTTGCCATGGGATAGGGAAAGAGGTAGAGAATATGAGAGAAGAGTTGGTGGAGGCTATAAAAGGGGAAGCAACACAAGGAATTTCATGGTAATAGAACTGTTATGTGTCTTGACTGGTGTAGTAGATACATGAAACCGTATGTGAGAAAAAAAGAACTAAACACTAAACAAACACACAAGTTCAAGTGCAGAAATCTTCACAAAATCAATGGATGTTATCAATGTTAATATTCTAATTTTAATAGTGTACTATAATTTTACAACCTCTTACCATTGGGGGTAACTAGATAAAGGATACACAGGATCTGTCTGTATTATTACTTGCAACTACCTTTGAATCTACAATTATCTCAAAATAAAAAGTTTAATTTTAAATAACTAAAATGAAGAAACAGAAATGATACCATATACTATTGTAAAAGTTCAGTAAGGTGTGCCATACTAAATTCGTATGTACCTAGAAATTCCAATCTAAAATTTCAGATTCCCAGAATTAAAACATCAATTATAGAACTTTTTTCTAACTATATAAATCATACCCTACAAAGCCCCTAAATTTTATATTTAATAATGAAATTTTTTCTTAATCTGATATATATCTTCTCAATTAATCTTACCCTCTTATAACAGATAAACTAAAGCTAAGTTGCAAGCTCTATCAAATCCTAGCAAATTCTGAATGAGTAAAGTCTAAAATTACCAAATATTTAAATTTAACTTCAAGGATACATTTACTGTAATTATCACATCATGATGTAAATTATTGCAAATATAAGTATAATCAAAGCTAGAGCTCTACTTACGAATTTACTATGAAGCACTAAATTACTAGTTTATTTTAAATTCCTCAATTTAAAACATTAATATAATCTTAATCTAACAATGTTAAATTACAAGTAGAATACTAAAAATGATAGAAATACTTAACCAACAGTAAATTACACCAACAAGCCTTAATAAAATATATCTAATATCTTAATATATATTAAATATACATATTAAATATAAAATATATCATAATGTACCAAAAACAAATCATTTGAAAAAAAATTCCATAAAGAACCAAAGGCAATATATTTTCAGTTAGAATTCACTCACAGGATTGAAAGACAAACATAATATATATATATACATATAAATGTAAATGTCATTAAAACTAATATCATTCTTACCACTCACTATACAGGTTTTCCTGTTCCCATTGTATTGTCTATTTAAAGATGTTCTCATTACTCATATGTAAGTACTCCCTCTAAAATGCATAAAATTCTCTCAATGGGATTGTTAAAAGATCTACAGTACTTCATGGTTTGAGCAGAACAAACTATGACATGCTGAAAGAATGTTTCTCACTGTGTGGTTCTGTCACCACCTACATACTGAGTTTACTATTTTAAATAAATGGTAGTGACACTTCACAGTGTACAGCATTTTAGTATCAATACATCTTCAAAAAAATTTAAATCTCTATATATTACCATCATTTGACAAAAGGATGAATAGGCAAGCAAGAGTTCATTCAAAACTATACCCAACTGGATCAAGAGGTCAGGAGTTCGAGACCAGCCTGGCCAAGATGGTGAAATCTCGTCTCTACTAAAAATACAAAAATCAGCTGGGCGTGGTGGTGTGAGCCTGTAATTTCAGCTACTCTGGAGGCTGAGGCAGGAGAATTGCTTGAACCTGGGAGGCAGAGGTTGCAGTGAGCTGAGATCGCGCCACTGCACTCTAGCCTGGGCGAAAGAGTGAGACTTTGTCTCCAAAAAAAAAAAAGAAAGAAAGATAGAAAGAAAAAAACTACACCCAACAGATTTTATTAACTATTAGTCAAGGTAAGATAATTTTTCATTTATTATAATATCTATCATTGCCACTATAATAAATTTTGACACAGAAATAAAAGTTATCATTATGTGTATTTCTGAACACATAAAAGGTCCCATACATTTAAGTTATTAAACTTCTAAAAATATACAATCTGCCAGGCGTGGTGACTCACACCTGTAATCCCAGTACTTTAGGAGGCCAAGGTGGGTGGATCACCTGAGGACAGGAGTTCAAGACAAACCTGACCAACATGGTGAAATCTCATCTCTATTAAAAATACAAAAATTAGCCGGGTGTGGTGGCATGCGTCTGTAATCTCAGCTACTCGGGAGGCTGAGGCAGGAGAATCGCTTGAACCTCGGAGGTGGAGGTTGCAATGAGCCAAGATTTAGCTACTGCACTCCAGCCTGGACAACAAGAGCGAAACTCCATCTAAAAAAAAAAAAAAAAAGACAATAAAAATATACAATCTATACTGTCAGACAGGATTTTTATGTTCTTCACTAACAAGGACAAAAGAACATTTAGGCAAATACAGCTACTTCATTTAATCGACATTTTGTGAACTATCTTATATGCCTTAATTTTCAATATTAAGAATCAACACCAAATCTTTACAGATAGCTACTGTATCATAATCAATATTGGCCCCAGCTAAATCTATACAAAATTTCTTATAAAAATTAATATTTTTGACCATTCCACATATGGAGAGAGATTAACTGGTTGGATTACTACTTTCTTCCACTATCTTCTTCCTCATCACTGAATAGATGGTATGCTAGTATGTTTTTTGGCAACCCTGCAAGTATCTTGGAGGTTTGTTTCAAGTCTTTTATTAAGTGTATATAACAATAATCCACTTTTTAACAGAGTCTGCTGTAGAATAAAACATACAATTTAGTATATTTCTGTCTCATCACATTATTAAATACATACAAAAATCTCTTTTATACCCACAGATCAAGCACAATCCCAAAAGACCTGAAGAAATAACAGCCTTCCACATGGTTGTAGTAATTTATCAATGAAACTAAAATACACCACTAAAACATTCCCTACTCTACATAACAAGCAATAAACATGGAGCCAACTGTTTAGTACAATGACAAAGAGGGCATAAATTTGTTAAGGAGAAAAAAAATTAACCTAAACACTGTCATCTTCACAAGACATATACACCAATGCAATCCTCAGATATGTAAGAATAAGTCATACATTATATTAAGCACTTACAATGTGTCAAGTAGTGTGCCCTTTACATTTATCAGTGAATTTAATCCTCTTGATAATCCTATAATTTTACAGCAGATATATGAAGTCCAGGAAATGGTGATATTTTTCAGTTGGGTATATTAAAACTCTAAGTTTTATTTCAGAAAAGTATTCCTATTTTAAGGCAGCTAAATTGTTTTGCTTTCTGCCACCAGGGGATGTACACTATACAATATGACTCTAAGCATACAATATATATTTGTATGTGTGTATGTTTGAGTGTGTGTGTGTGTATAACGTTTACTCAAATACAGAAAAAAATTAAATTTTAAGCCTGCATGATGACTGACTGTGGTATTGTGCTGTGCTGGTAAAATAGGCTTATTAAATTGTCATGCTTTGGGAGGCCGAGGTGGGAGGACTGCTTGAGGCCAGGAGTTTCAGGCCAGCCTAAGCAACATAGGAAGACCCCCATCTCTACAAAAAAAAATTTTTTCTTCTTTTTGAGACGGAGTCTTGCTCTGTCACCCAGTGCAGTGGCGCAATCTTGGCTCACTGCAACCTCCGCATCCCGGGTTCAAGCAATTCTCCTGCCTTGAGTAGCTGGGATTTCAGGCCCATGCCACCACACCCAGCTAATTTTTATATTTTAGTAGAGACGGGGTTTCACCATGTTAGTAAGGCTGGTCTCGAACTCCTGACCTCATGATCCGCCCGCCCTGCCCTCCTAAAGTGCTGGGATTACAGGCGTGAGCCACTGCGCCTGGCCAACAAAAATATTTTAAAAAAACTACATGTACTCTGTGGCAAGTGCCTGTAGTCCCAAGTGACTAGGGAGGCTGAGGTGGGGGAATGGCTTGAGCCCTGTTCGAGGTTACAGTGAGCTACGATCATGCCACTGCACTCCAGCCTGAATGACAGAGTGAGACCATCTAGAAAAATATATATATATTTAAATATATACTAAATATATATATTTAGTAGAGAAAAGGTTTTGCTATTCTCAAACTCCTGAGCTCAAGGGATCATCCTGCTTCAGCCTCCCAAAATGCTGGATTACAGGATGAGCCACAATGCCCAGCCAAAATTATCAAATTTTTAACCTATTTAATGATAGTTAGTATATGAAATAATACTAAAATAAATTCCATGATTGAAGGAAACTAGAATATGTTTATAAGAGAAAAATTTCTGGAATTAAAATAATTATGAAAAATTATTTATATTAGATATCTTTTGAAAAACATATTCTACTTCAGACATTTTCAACATTAGTAATATGTTAATTAGTTTGATGATTCCTTAACTCTGTGATGTTTATGTGCTTATGCCTTCACAATTATGTTTAACTTATTTAACTTAACTGTAGATTTCAGCTTTAAAAATAATCATAAAACTAGATACTGCTCATAAAAAATAAAATTCATGCAATTTCAGTTATTAGCTTTTCCCACTAGTTTTAAACTATTTCCAGGCTCCCTCCAAAAAAGACTATTTATACTTGGACTTCCTTTTCCATTTTATGTTTCAGATTAGGAACCTAACACATAATATTAAACAAAAGGTTACCTGGACACCTGTTGCATTCCTAGATCACAACTGGTTTCCCAGTGAGACAGGACACCCAACCCACCAGGCAGCTTTATGCCATGAACAATAAGATTCAAAGGTAGAGAATAATAAGAAAAGGTCCAAAACACAGGTACCAATCACTTCAATGATTAAATTATTCCTTAATTTAACATTGTGTCTGGCCTGACTAAAAACACACTAAGCCCATTAAGGCAATATAGCTAATGTTTTCAGATGATACAGTAAAGCTTGCTGAGAGTGAGGAATATATTAAAAATAAAACAAAATGAAACTTTTATATTTTAATTTTTATCAAGATAATAAGAATGGCGAAGAAAACAAGCAAAAAAAAAACTACACTCAAAGTACATAATGATCTGTTGCCAATATGAAAACATACAGAGCAATGCTATGGCAATATCACACTGTGAAGGTGTAACTTCTACAGGTGAATCATTTTCTATCTGCTCCTCAAGTGCAATCAGTAAGTGAAGCCAAAAATGTCTGCTTTTATTATTTTCTGCTTACCTTTTACAATGTTCAATTTTATGTGTGACTTAAATGGGCCAAAGGGCACCCCAATATCTCATGAAACATTATTCTAAGTTATTCTATGAGAATGTTTTGGGATGAGATTAACATTTAAATCAGCAAACTAAGCAAAGCAGATAGCCCTCCATAATGGCAGTGGTTCTAATCCAATCAGTTGAAGGCCTTAATAGAGCAAAAGGCTGACCCTCCTCCAAGTAAGAGAGAATTTTGCTGCTTTATAGCCTTAGAAATGAAACATGAGCTCTTCTTGCCTATTGTCTTAAACCTGAAACATTGCCTTTTCCTGGTTATATAGGAGCTTCTAGCCTTCAGATTCAAATTGGTATGTTGGCTCTGCAGATGTTAAACTTGAATCATGTGAGCCAACTCTTTATAATAAATCTCTTTCTATGCAAACACCCGCGCGCGCGCACACACACACACTATTGGTTTTCTCTGAAGAATACACCTTCTAAAAATAAAAATAAAAAAAATTTTTTTTTTGAGATGGAGTCTCACTTTGTGGCTCAGGCTGCAGTGCAGTGGCACAGTCTCGGCTCACTACAGCCGCCGCCCCCAGAGTTCAGGTGATTCTCCTCCCAAAGAAGCTGGGACTACAGGCATGCACCATCACACCAGGCTAATTTTTGTATTTTTAGTAGAGATGTGGTTTCACAATGTTGGTCAGGCTGGTCTCGAACTCCTGACCTAAGGCGATCCACCCGTCTTGGCCTCTGAAAGTGCTGGGATTACAGGCATGAGCCACCGTGCCCAACCTAAAAATAAATTCTTAATAATCAATTTACCAATAGGATTATCAAACTTTTGCTATGATGATAAGAAGATATAATCTTGCATGAAAGCATTTAATTGAATGAATTAACAAGCACTCCAAAATATGCTAAGATTAAACCCTAACATTTTTTAAAATCATATATAAAATCAAAATTCTGGAATCCTTTTTTATAAAAATCATGAGTTTGGTAAAAACTGAGTTATTTGAAATATTACTTACTGGTTTGGGTTTTTTAATTTTATTTTTTAATTTTAATTTTTTATTATTGCAGTAACCATTTTTACCAAAATAGCCATTATTTAACTAACTTCTTGGGACTCATTGTATCACAGCAGGAGTTATGTCTTTAAACTCATTCTTTTTCCTAGGAGAACTACAAATCAACTTATACTGAGAGAGTTTTCTTTTGCATTCTGAAAGGTGATACTGCCCCACTGCATGAAATACACAGGATGAAATAGGAGTATGAGCCATGTATTCTACTATAGCAAAATACTAAAATAAAAATAACAATATCTGGCATGAACTGAGTACTTATTACATTCCAGACATAGATGGTGTTCTATATATATATAATCTTCTAAAACAGATTATCTTGCTGATACAATTATCAGCCACATTTTACAGATGAGAAAACTGAGGCCCAAAGATAACAACTATTCCGAGAACACATTAAAGACTAAGTAGCTAAACCTCCTTCAAACCCCAGCCTAACTCTAAGCCCACATTTTGTTTCTCTCTTTTATTAATACATAATAATTTATATATTTTGGGGATGTATGATAATGTTTGTTACATGCAAAAAAAAGTGTAATGATCAAGTCAAGATAAATGGGGTAATCCAACATCTTGACTATTTATTATTTTTATGTACAGGTATCAAGTCCTCTAGTTACTTTGAAATATATATAATATTCTTACTAGTACAGTCACCCTATTCTGCTATCAACCATTGGAATTTATCTATTCTACCTAACTATACATTTGTACCCATAACCAACCTCTATTCATGGTCCCTTTCCCCCACCCTCCCAACTTACCCTGTCTCTGGTATCTATTCTTCTATTCTCCATGTCCATTAGATCTAGTGTTTTAGTCCCAGATATGAGTGATAACATGTGGTATTTGTCTTTCTGTATCTGGCTAATTTTCATTTCACTGAACACAATGACCTCCAGTTCCATCCACAAACTGGATAAAGCTGTTAGATAAAATGACTTCCAGTTGCATTCACAGGATTCTGCAGTTAGTGGATAAAATGTTCTATCAATGTCTGTTAAGTCCATTTGGTCTAAAGTCTAGTTTAAGTCTAACGTTTCTTTATAGATTCTCTGTCTAGATGACCTGCCTAATGGTGAGAGTGGGATGTTCAGGCCTGCACAATTATTTTATTAGAGTCTGTCTCTTTCTTTAGATCTAGTAATATTTTTGCTTTATGAACCTGCATGCCCCAGTGTGGGGGGGGCTTATGTAACAATTGTTATATGAATTCTTCACTTTATCATTATTATATAATGACCATCTTTGTCTTTTTTTATGGGTTTTGTTTTATCTAAGTATATCTACTTCTGCTCACTTTTGGTTTCTGTTTGCATGGACTATCCTTATCCATCCCTTTACTTTCAGTCTGTATGTGTCTTTACAAGTGAAGTACACTTCTGGTAGTAAACATATAGTGAAATCATGTTTTAAATTCATTCAGTCTATATATATATATATATATATATATTTTTGAGATGGAGTCTTGCTCTATCACCAGGCTGCAGCGCAGTGGCACGATCTCGGCTCACTGCAACCTCTGCCTCCTGGGTTCAAGCGATTCCCCTGCCTCAGCCTCCTGAGCAGCTGGGATTACAAGCATGTGCCACCATGCCTGGCTAATTTTTTGTATTTTAGTAGAGACAGGGTTTCACCATGTTGGCCAGGATGGTCTAGATCTCCTGACCTCATGATCTGCCTGCCTCGGCCTCCCAAAGTGCTGGGATTACAGGCGTGAGCCACTGCGCCCAGCCAATCTATATCTTTTAAGAATTTAAATCATTTACACACAGGTTATTATGGATATGAAAGGTTTTTCCCCGTCACCTTGTTAACTGTTGTTTAGTTGTTTTGAATATTCTTTGTTCCTTTCTTATTTTCTGATTGATTGTCCTTGTAGTTTGCTGATTTTCTGTGGTGATACCATTTGAGTCTTTTTTTCTTCCTCATTTGTTGCTTTACCAGTGAGTTTTATACTTTCAAGTGTTTTCATAATGGTAACTGTCACCCTTTTGCTTGCTTCTAGGTTTAGGACTCCCTTGAATATTTCTTGTAAGATAGGTGTAGTAGTGATGAATTCTCTCAGCATTTGCTTGTCTGGAAAAGACTTTATTTATCCTTCCTTCATGAAGAATCATTTTGCTAGATAAGGTATGCTTGGCTGGCAGGGTTTTTGTCTTTGAGCACATTAAATATATCCTCCCATTCTCTGCTGACCTGTAAGGTTTCTACTGAGAAAGCTGCTCTTAGTCTGATGGGGCTCTTTTATAGGTGACTAAACGCTTTTCTCTTACAATTTTTAGGATTTTCTATGTGTCACTGACTTTAGGCAATTTCACTATAATGTGGGGTGGAGAAACCTTTTTACATTGCATGTGATTGGGGGTCACTAGGCTTTCTGTATCTGGATGTCTAAATCTCTTGCTAGACTTAGGAAGTTTTAATCTATTAATTTGTTTAATAAGTTTCCGAACCCCTTCATTCTCTCCTCAACCTTCAGGGATACTAATAACTCATACATTTGATCACTATGTGGTGTCCATATATCATGAACACTTTGTTCATCCTTTACTCCTTTTATTTTTGTCTAAGTGGATTATTACAAAAGATGTGTCTTCAAGTTGAGAGTCTCTCTTCTGGTTGTTCTAGTCTATTGCTGAAGCTTTCGAGTGTATTTTGTATTTCATAAAAGGAATTCATCAGTTCCAGAATTGCTATTTGATTCTTATTTATGATTATCTGTTTGATAAATTTCTCATAAATATCCTGAATTCTCATTTTTTGTATTTTCAGAATTCTCTTGTATCTCTCTGAGCATTTTTAGTTTAATTTTACATTCTTTTTCCAGAATTGTGTAAATTTATTTTTGATTGGGATCTATTGCTGAGGGATTATCACATTCTATTTCATACTTCCTGTGTCCTAACATTGATATCTGCACATCTGGTGGAACAGCTGCTTCTTCAGGTTTTCTGAATTTGCCTTCTTAGGGGAGAACTTTTTCTGAAGATGTACCAATTGTGCTGGTTGGGTAGGCCCCTTTGGCTTTGATTATCGGTGTGTGCAGTAGTGTCATCACTATATGATTTCTCCAGCTGTAAATGGCTTCAGTGGTATCTGTGCTTTCCCTGGTGGCTTAGGTTATGGTTATCAGTAGATCCTATGGTAATGTTTTGTTGAAGACAGAGATGCCAGGTGGGCTAGTCTTAAGATCCCAATGATGGCAGTGATGAGCTGACTGTGCCTGATCATGGGCTCCAGGGCAGTGTACATTGGTATGAGGGTATTACTGGGACCAGGCAGGCCAATTCGTGGGCACCCAGGTGGCCTGCTCAAATACTGGTAGTGGAATCAGTGGATTGAGCAGATGAGAGGGTTCTTGAGTCACTGGATAACCTGTGTGATGTGGGTGATGGTAGTAGTGGGATGATCCTCTGGGGCCCAAGTGTTGCACACTGATGTTGACACTGGCTACAGTGCACGGTCACCAGCCAGAGTCCCAGACACACAACTCTCAGGTTCTTCCACTCTCTGTGACAGGAGCACCACAGCACTGCATAAGGGTTAGGGGGAGGCACCCAGCCCTTCACACACAAACTGAAGATCCCACTGCCAGTGAGGGTGCCGTCACCACTCACAGCCCTGGAAAGCTAACCCTCCAGTTCGCCTGCCCCAGCCTCCAGGAGCAGCAACAGTGGCTGGGCCTACAGAAGCGTCTGGAGTGAGACAAAGGGTCCCTCTCTACATGTGAGAGCCTGAACACAGTGATAACTCTTACGGGGGGAAGAGATCATACTCTCTGTGTGCTAGGCCGAGCACACAGTTTATTTCAGCTGGGGGCAGGGTCACTTCTCACAGCCTGAGACAGGAGTCTCTCAGGTTTTAGAAATTACGCGCTTTAGTTTTCTTTGTACAAGAGGCTGTCTTTGGTGTGCTGCACTGTCCTTACTCCAGGGATTAGTACTCCCTGTGGGCTAGAGTACTGAGGACCCTTCAGCACTTTTGGGCTGGGTCCAGCCAGCGCTGTGCTGCTACAGCCCTCCAAATGGACTCTGGGAGACATCAGTGGTGGCTCACAGGATGTGGAAATATGGGAGCTGTGGTCCCGAAGACAGGATGCAGCTCCATGACAGCTATGTGCTCACGATGGTGCTCAGCTGCAGTCACTCAAGTCTCAGGTGTGTGAGTGAGCCAGCGTGAGTACCCTGTCCAGTCTAATGCCTTGGTGAGGTCTTTAAATGGCTACTCATGCTAGTGTCAGAATTTGTGAAGGTAGAGAAGCTCTCTCTGGTTCCAACCACAGTACTGTGCAGTGGCAATGTTAACTGCTGAGGTTCTCTCACTTACTCTTTCACCACAATATCAAGCCCCTATGGGCTCCCAACCAATCTCAGCCAAGTCTCCAATGGCTTCCTTCTTCTGTGCCGCAGATGTTTCCTGTGACTTCTCTGTTGGATTCTGGTGTTCTCTCCTATATATTCTATTCAAGGTATGATTGTCTATTTGTAATTTTAGCTCTTCTTTCTGGAGAGGATGTGTGTCTGATGCCTTAGCCATTTAAACTGGGATCTCTAAACCCACATTCCTAACCACTATGATAAAGCCACCTACAGCTACTCTAAAGGAAAATCTTTCCCTTTCTATTAACTCTTTTAGAACAGTATGACTAAAACTATAAATTACCTTAAAAATAGATGTCCTTTATTGGGATAATAAAAACACCCTTGCTGTCACTAATAAATTACTAAAAACAACTAAAATGGATACATTCTCAAATTCTTACTGTCTAAAAAATAGTCACCTAGTCCTTGCAAGGTATTTGAATATGTACTAAATTCTAAACTGGCTCAATGTTATTAGAAGTACTCTCTTTCTTTTTAAAGCTATAAAATCCCCTTTTCCTATGTAAATATTACCTATGTATAATTGACTTTCATAAAATATATTGCTCAGTAAATACTAACATTATATTCAATTATTGTCTGGAGTGAGTATCAGTTACAAAGGATAAAATTCTTTAATCCTTTGGTAAAATACATTGATGTTGTTGAATAAAACCAAAGATACACTTTGGGAGGCCGAGGTGGGCAGATTGTCTGAGGTTAGGAGTTTGAGACCAGCCTGGCCAACATGGTGAAACCCTGTCTCTACTAATACTACAAAAATCAGCTGGGCATGGTGGTGGGCGCCTGCAATCCCAGCTACTCAGGAGGCTGAGGCAGCAAAATATCTTGAACCCAGGAGGCAGAGGTTGCAGTGAGCCAAGACTGCACCACTGCACTCCTGCCTGGGAGACAGAACGAGACGCTGTCACAAAAAAAAAAAAAAAAAGAAAAGAAAAAAAAGAAATACATATATATATACACACATGACCTGAAGTTCTAAATTATTATTGGGCTGAACAAATGCTTATCTTCAAATAACTGCTGCAATTTTTAAAAACTTATTTTTTCCTTACCTAGTCACAACCCTTATAGCATGCCAACTTAAAATTATTCCACTTAAAAACTTTGAAAATGTAAACAAACTATAGCTATCAAGTTACCCACTTTTATATCCAACTGATAATTTTCTTCATTTAAGTGGCAACTTTTCTGGAGATCTCTGCTGATCAGAAACTGTTCCATGGTACAACAGATTTTTATGAATTTTAACACTCCCAAGTCCTTAAAATGCCTAGAAATAGTTTAACAAGATACAAAACGCTTCTTAATAAAATTTAAGAGCTGAATGAACCAGTAGTTTACAAAATTCTGCCTTAACCTGTCTAACATGAAAATACCTCTCATGAGAATTTTTTCGGATTTAGGAAAAAAATGACACAGAAATTAGATGAGAAAAAGAGAATGGAAAGAAATTAAAATTAACACTGGAAAGAAAGCCAATGATACAAGTGACAAATGCTTTATCTAAAACTATGGATAAAACATTTGAAATTACAAATTAAAGGGAAATGATATATATGTTTCCAATGAATTTTTCTGCATCAGTATAAACATTATTATAAGGCCACATTTTAAATAAAATAGCCCCACCTTATAAACACTTATGAATAATTCTAATAACTGAAAAGTTTAAATTACTGATAAGGACAATCTCCATTCTGTACTGTACATAAATATGTCTTCATTTTTACACAAAAGTCACCATTAATTCTCTTTTGAAATCTGGGAGGATCAAGTGGCATTAAATTTGTAGATTCTAATATAAATATTATTAGGGAAAGAGCTCCTTAGAAACAGAAAAATGTAATATATGTATTTGATAACTTTATATTTACAGGATATATACATGTGTGTGTGTGTACCTGAGACCTAAATTGTACCCAGTACCTAAGACCCTAAATTGATTTACTTTACAAACACACACGCGCATTTATTTTTAAGTAAATCAATTTAGGGTCTCACGTACTAGGATGGTGAGAAGGTGGAAAATTGGGTTTCTACTGGACAAGAGAATTAAGGAACTGGAGAAAATAAAGTTAATCTTAAAGAAGAAGGCAGATTAGGAGTGTGCTGGGAACAGACCCCCAAATCTGGCCATAAGCTGACCTCAAAACCGGCCATAAACAAAATCTCTGCAGCACTGTGACATGTTCATGATGGCCATGACTCCCATGCTGAAGGTTGTGGGTTTACTGGAATGAAGGCAAGGAATACCTGGCCCAACCAGAGCAGAAAACCACTTAAAGGCTTTCCTAAACCACAAATAATGGCATGAGCGATCTGTGCCTTAAGGACATGTTTCTGCTGCAGGAAACTAGCCAGAGCCCATCCCTTTGTTTTGGCCCATCCCTTTTTTCCCGTAAGGAATACTTTTAGTTAATCTGTAATCTATAGAAACAATGTTTATCACTGGCTTGCTGTCAATAAATATGTGGGTAAATTTCTGTTCGGGGCTCTCAGTTCTGAAGGCTGTGAGTCCCGATTTCCCACTCCACACGCTATATTTGTGCATATGTCTTTAATTCCTCTAGCGCTGCTGGGTTAGGGTCTCCACGACTGAGCTGGTCTCGGCAAGTGGAACCCAACGTTGGGGCTCAAACCCAGGTCGAAAGGTCGCCGGGGCAATGGTTGGAGAACATGGAACTAAGCTGGAGGACACCCGAGTGCTCTTAAGCAATCCCCGTGGTGAGTAAAAAGGGGAGCTCAGAAGCATCAGGGTAACAATGGGACAAGTGTGGGCTCTGGTTAGTTCCATCTTGGAACCTTTTCACACTGATGATGAGGAGGAAGGAGAGTATAACAAAGTAACAGAGCAGGTTTGTTTGCCAGGTAAAGCTAAAGTGGCAAAGGAGGCAGATGTTCATCCCTACCCTTCTGCACCCCCTCCTTATTTTGAAGAAAAAGAGTGGCCTAACCCTCCAGATCTTTCTTTTCTGGAGGACCTTGGGTGAAAAGTAGTTGCCCCAGTGACTGTTCAAGCAGTGCCTCAAGCAACCTCTCTCAGTTCTATTCAGGCAGGAATCCAGCAAGCTAGAAGAGAGGGTGATTTAGAGGCTTGGCAGTTTCCTGTTAGAATACACCCCCCGAGATCAACAGGGAAATATTATAGCTACATTTGAGCCTTTTCCTTTTAAATTACTCAAAGAATTTAAGCAAGCGATTAATCAATATGGACCAGGTTCTCCTTTTGTAATGGGACTGTTAAAGAATGTTGCTGTCTCCAGTCAGATGTTGCCAGTGGGGACGGTAGGATTACTTCTAGGTAGGTCTGGTTTAAATTTAAAAGGAGTGCAAGTACAAACAGGAGTCATTGATTCAGACTACAATGGGCAAATTCAGATTGTTATATCTACTTCTGTTCTCTGGAAAGTAGAGCCAGGAGAGCGTATAGCACAACTCCTGACTGTGCCATATGTGGAAATGGGAAAAAGTGAAACTAAACGAATAGGAGGATTTGGAAACACAAATAAACAAGGCAAAGCAGCTTATTGGGTGAATCAAATTACTGATCAATGTCCTACCCGTGAAATAACTATTCAGAGAAAGAAATTTAAAGGTTCAGTAGATACAGGAGTGGACATTTCAATCATTTCTCTACAGCATTGGCTGTTCACGTAGTCAATTCAACCCACTCAATTTAACATAGTTGGAGTTGGTAAAGCCCCTGAAGCATATCAAAGTAGTTACATTTTGCATTGTGAAGGACCCGATGGACAACCTGGGAATATTCAACCAATTATAACTTCTGTACCTATAAATTTATGGGGAAGAGATTTATTACAACAATGGGGAACACAAGTTCTAATTCCAGAGCAATTGTACAGCCCTCAAAGTCAAAGTATGTTGCATGAAATGGGGTATGTCCCTGGTATGGGACTAGGACAAAATTTGCAAGGTTTGAAGGAACTGCTTCAAGCGGAAAGACAAAGTTCCCGCCAAGGTTTAGGTTATCATTTTTGATGGCAGCCATTGTTAAGCCTCCAGAACCTATACCTTTAAAATGGTTAACAGATAAGCCAATTTGGATAGAACAATGGCTGCTAAGTAAAGAGAAAATGGAGGCTTTAGAGGACTTAGTTCCTGAACAATTAGAAAAAGGACACATAGCTTCAATATTTTCCCCTTAGAATTCTCCAGTTTTCATAATTAAGAAAAAATCAGGTAAATGGAGAATGTTAACTAACTTAAGAGCCATTAATTCAGTTATACAACCTATGGGAGCATTACAGCCAGGATTGCCTTCTCCTGCTATGATTCCAAAAAACTGGTCTTTAATTGTCATAGATTTAAAAGACTGTTTCTTTACTATCCCTTTAGCTGAGCAAGACTGTGAACACTTTGCACTTACAATTCCTGCAGTAAACAACCTGCAGCCTGCTAAGCATTTTCATTGGAAAGTGTTGTGACAAGGCATGTTAAACAGTCCAACAATTTGCCAGACTTATGTAGGGCAAGCAATTGAACCTACTCGTAAAAAAATTTTTAGTGTTACATTATTCAGTATATGGATGATATACTTTGTGCTGCCCCAACTCGAGAAATACTACTCCAATGTTATGATCACTTGCAAAATTCGATTTCTTGCACTGGTTTAATTATAGCTCCTGACAAAATTCAGACTACTCCTTACTCCTACTTGGGGACCTCAGTAACTGACAGTACAATTGTGCCACAGAAAGTAACCATATGTAGGGATCAATTTAAAACACTGAATGACTTTCAAAAATTACCAGGGGACATTAATTGGATATGACCTGCTCTAGGCATTCCTGCCCATGCCATGAGTAATCTATTTTCTACCCTTAGAGGAGATCCTAGTCTCACTAGCCCTTGGCAATTAACAAAGGAGGCTGAGGCAGAGTTACAGCTGATTGAAAGGCAAGTCCATAAAGCTCAAATAAATAGAATAGATCCCAAGAAGACTCTAGATTTGCTAATTTTTCCGACTCAGCATTCACCTACTGTTGTTATTTTGTTATTGTCCAAGAACAGGACTTAGTAGAATGGCTTTTTCTTCCACATGTGAATTCATGGACTCTATAACTCCTTATTTGGATGAAATTGCTACTATGATAGGAAATGGGAGAACTTGGATTGTTAAATTACATGGATATGATCCTGGAAAAATTATTGTCCCTCTCACGAAGGCACAAATACAGCAAGCTTTTATAAAGAGTCTTACTTGGCAAACCCATTTAGCTGACTTTGTGGGTATTCTCCATAGTCATTTTTTCCTAAAATGAACTGTTTCAATTTTTGAAATTAACTAATTGGATTCTCCCTAAAATAACTAAATTCAAACCAATTGAAGGTGCTGAGAATGTTTTTACAGATGGGTCCAGTAATAGTAAAGCTTCTTATTCTGGATCGAAAGGTAAAGTTTTTCAGATGCCCTATACTTCAGCTCAAAATGCGGAGCTTGTAGCTGTAATTGAGGTATTGACTGCTTTTAATATGCCTATTAATGTGATTTCTGATTCTTCATATATGGTTTATTCTACACAATTAATTGAAAGTGCTCAGTTATGATTTCATACAGATGAACAACTGATGACTTTATTTACCCAACTGCAAACAGCAGTTAGGAGTAGAATGCACCCTTTTTACGTTACTCATATTACAGCTCATACATGTCTTCCAGGACCTTTAACTGAAGGGAATCAAATGGCTGATTGCCTAGTTGCTACTGCAGTATCTAATGCTACACACTTTCACAATTTAACCCATGTTAATGCCTCTGGTCTCAAGCGCAGATACAGCATTACCTGGAAAGAAGCTAAAGCTATTATCCAGTGATGCCCAACTTGCCAAATGGTGCATTCCTCATCTTTTACAGGAGGAGTTAATCCTCGAGGACTGGAATCTAATTCTCTTTGGCAAATGGACATCACACATGTTCCCTCGTTTGGGAGACTAGCTTGTGTACGTGTATGTGTGGACACCTTTTCTCACTTTGGGCTACATGCCAATCAGGAGAGTCTTCTGCCTGTGTTAAACATCACCTTTTGCAGTGTTTTACAGTGATAGGCATTACAGCTTCTATTAAAACAGATGATGCCCCAGGCTATACTAGCAAAGCTCTAGCTACATTTTTCTCTATACGGAATATTAAACACATTACTGGCATCCCATATAATTCTCAAGGACAAGCCATTGTAGAACGAATGAATCTCTCCCTAAAACAACAATTGCAAAAGCACAAAGGGGGAAACAGGGACTATGGAACACCCCATATGCAACTTAATCTAGCATTATTGACTTCAAATTTTTTGAGCCTGCCTAAAGGCCAGATGCTATCAGCAGCTGAAGAGCATCTACAGAAACCAGCTGCAAAGACAGAAGCAGAACAACTGGTTTGGTGGAGAGATCCGATAACAAAAAGTTGGGAAATAGGTAAAATAATAACTTGGGGTAGAGGTTATGCTTGTCTTTCTCCAGGCCAAAACCAGCAGCCAATTTGGATACCATCAAGACACCTGAAACCTTATCATGAGCCAGATGCCAAAGAAGACATTCTAGCAGGATTGCGAGGACCCCCCAGTTGCAGCCATGTTGACACTGATGCTGAGGAGGACCCCAGCTGTCACAGATGGTGGAAGAAAACCTGAGGAAAGCGGACAACCTGTCACAACGAGTAATTTAATGATAGCTATGATAGCGGTGGTCACTACTGCCGTGAGTATTCCTTCAACAACGGCTGACACAGAGAACAATTATTCTTATTGGGCATATTTATCAATCTTGGCTGGCAATAATGCCTGGATGTAATCACTCTATGACACATATACACATGCTTTCTGGTCTCAGTATTTACCATAATAAATCTGCTCCTATAATTAGGCGTACCGCCCTCAAAAACCTATCTGTAAACAGAATTGGACCTGGCCAGAAATAATGAACTTACTTGTTTGGGAAGATTGCATTACAGAACAGGCAGAGGTGCTGCGCAGCGATTCCTATGGAATCATTGATTGGTCCCCTAAGGGGATGTTTAATTTGAATTACACCTCTCAGTCTGCGTGCCATGGCCACACTATGTTCAGCTGGTCCAAACAAAACAATCAGATGGTAGAAACAGTAAAAAATACGGCAAGTTCCTATTATTTGGAAACATGGTGGTATAGAGGCACCTCAACCTCAGATGATATGCCTGCTGTAGGAGCTTAACATAAGGATTTGTGGAAACTATTAATGGAAAGAATAAAAAAACATCTAGAAGGACACTCTACAAACTTGTCTTTGGATATTGCAAAATTAAAAGAACAAATATTTAAAGCATCCCAGGCACACCTGACCTTAATGCTAGGAACTGGAGTGCTTGAAGGAGCTGCAGACAGATTAGCAGCTAGTAACCCATTAAAAAGGATAAAAACACTTGGAAGCTGGGTGATTTCAATGATGATTGTGCTTTTAATCTGTGTTATTTGTCTTTGTATAGTCTGCAGATGCAGATCCCGACTCCTGCGAGAAGTAGCTCACCGTGACAAAGCTGCCTTTGTTTTTATCACTTTGTGAAACAAAAAAGGGGGACATGTTGGGAACAGGCCCCCCCCCAAATCTTGCCATAAGCTGGCCCCAAAACTGGCCATAAACAAAATCTCTGCAACACTGTGACATGTTCATGATGGCCATGATGCCCATGCTGAAGGTTGTGGGTTTACCAGAATGAGGGCAAGGAATACCTGGCCCACCCAGGGCAGAAAACCACTTAAAGGCGTTCTTAAACCACAAATAATGGCATGAGCAATCTGTGCCTTAAGGACATGTTTCTGCTGCAGGAAACTAGCCAGAGCCCATCCCTTTGTTTCGGCCCATCCCTTTTTTCCCGTAAGGAATACTTTTAATCTATAATCTATAGAAACAATGTTTATCGCTGGCTTGAGGCCAATAAATATGTGGGTAAATCTCTGTTCGGGGCTCTCAGTTCTGAAGGCTGTGAGTCCCCTGATTTCCCACTCCACACGCTATATTTGTGTGTGTGTCTTTAATTCCTCTAGAGCTGCTGGGTTAGGGTCTCCACGATCAAGCTGGTCTCAGCAAGAGTGAGAGGTCATCAGTGAGAAAAGAGGTTTGTGGCCAAGAAAGTACATGACCAATGAAAGAGAGTTAACAGAAATGGAAGGGGGAAAAAGAAAGGTAACTAGAATAAAAACTACTAGTTTAAAGAGAATGGAATATAATTAGGAAAAAGCAAAGTAAATTTGTCCAGAAGAATAAAACAAAGCATAGGATCCTTTGAGGAAAGAACACAAGGCAAGAAAGCAAATTGCTAGTCATGAAGGACTACACAAAGTGGTTATGTTTTACTCTATCCAATAAAACATGATTAATAAGAAACCAATCAATTACATTATTCCAACAGTATTCTAAATAACATTCCAGACAGTTCCACTTGTGGAAACTACAGAGCAAATTTACTTGACTTGGTCTTCTGCTGTAAACAACCAGAAAACTAGATAAAATACATGAAATAACTGGCCTCACACAACAAACAAAAACCATGCATAACAGCAATGACTGAAAGAAGCAAAATAAAGAACACCCTATGCTTATCCAGCCTTTCGTGTGTAGGTACTTTCTAAACAGAATAAGGACAGGGATAGAACATAGAAGCCAAAGTTCAAGAGACAGAGACAACAACTTGAGAGGTAGAGGCAACTGAAGTGCCTAAGTGTACCGAAGAGATAGTATTTCACCAAGAAAGAACTTTAGAAGTCTCCACTGATGTCCCCTTGAGGCTTTGGCTAAATACTAAGTTGAAAATGCATAAAGACAAAATTCACAACACAAGACACAACCATAGGGGAGCTTGAAGATGAACATTCTCAGAGCTCATATCAAGCTGGGAGACACTTAAGTTCACACCAGTCAGAGTGTAGACATCACTGAATACAATAGTGGCATTCAATAGTGACTCTTGGAAAGCAGTAGACTATAATGGCCCTAGAGTAAAAAGTATTCCATACTAATTCTAAGAAAATTTTAAAAACTCAACAAGATCAAGTGTATCTATAACTAATCTATAATTAAATTGCCTGGAAAAACAAAATTCACCATTCTTGAAGGAAGATAACAAAATCTAGAAAGTCAAAAACATGAGTCACAATGACTCACCACCAAATAATTTATTAGACATGCACAAAAGCAGGAAAATAAGGCCCATAAACAGAAGAAAAGTCAATAGAAACAGATGCAGAAATGGCATAGATAACAAAACTTGGCAGGAAAAGCTTTTAAAAGAGCTATTATAAGGCTGGGCGTGGTGGCTCACGCCTGTAATCCCAACACTTTGGGAGGCCGAGGAGTGTGGATTACTTGAGGTCAGGATTTAGGACCAGCCTAACCAACATGGTGAAACCCTGTCTCTACTAAAAATACAAAAATTAGCTGGGCATGGTGGTGTGCACCTGTAATCCCAGCTAGTCGGGAGGCTGCGGTGGGAGGATTGCTTGAGACTGGGAGGCAGAGGTTGCAATGAGTTGAGATAGATCGTGCCACTGCACTCCAGCCTGGGAAACAGAGCGAGACTCCTTCTCAAAAAAAAAAAAAAAAAAAAAAAGCTACTATGTATTATATACAAGCTCAAGAATTTAAAATGAGCAGACAAAAAAATCTAACAATGAAAAAGAATCTTAAGAAAACTTCTATAGCATAAAAAATATATACAAAGTGAAAAAACTCACTGCACAGCTTAACAAAGTCAGCCAATGAAAAGAAATAATAAAAATTTGAATGAAAATCAAATAGAAAACAGACCAAAAACACAGAAAAATTACTCAAACCTAAACCTGATCTTTTTAAAAGATTGATAAAATCAATAAATCACTAGTTAAACTAACTGAGAATGAGAAAAAGAACACAAATTATGAATCTCATTAATACAAGAGATTGTAAAAGAAGAGGCATAACTATATATTCTACAAACACTGAAATGATAATAGGGTAATATTTTGAGTTACTTTATGCCAATAAATTCAACAACTGAGATGAGATGGACAAACTCCTTGAAAGACACTACCAAAAATGGTATAAAACTTTGAAAATCTGAATAGCCCTATATGTATTAAAGATACTAAACTACTAAGTAAAAATTTTCCAATAAATATCATTCTGAATTACAAAGAGCAGTTCTCCTTCTTTGCACTAATACTGTTGCCTGTATTTCCCCTGTATCAGATTACAATATACCCGATCTGTTTTATATTTTTAATTTACTATTTGTTCATTTAATTTTATTTGAGACAAGGTCTCACTCTGTCACCCAGGCTGGAGTGCAGTGGTGTGATCATGGCTCACTGCAGCCTCAACATCTGGGCTCAAGTCATCCTCCCACATCTGCCCTCCTGGGTAGCTGGGAAGACAGGCATGTGCCACCACACCTGGCTAATTTTTTTCTATTTTTTGTAGAGACAGGGTCTCACTATGTTGCCCAGGCTGGTCTCAAACTCCTGGGCTCAAGTGATCCTTGGCCTCCCAAAGTGCTGGGATTACAGGCATGAGCCATGGCATCTGGCTGTTTTGCTTTTGGCTGATTACCATTTAGATCAGAGATGGCACGGCCTCCGTAATTCACCTATAGGAGCCATTACAACCAATCACAAATCTTTTTCCTACTAAAGCCTAGATACGCTCCCACAGTTCTTCTCAAACATTTCAAGCAACCAAGGGGAGCTGCATATAAAGATAAAACCTATTAGCCACACCTTATTTATATCCTTAATAATAATTTCATTATTCATCTCATTTTTAAATCATTATTTTTCCCAAATAGCTTTAGGAAAATTTTCCAATCTTATGCTCTCCTTCATTATTTAAATCTTACACAAAACAGTACTCTTGTATAAGTGAACATTTTAAACAAACAACCCCACTACCTTTTCCTGAAAACTGGTGCTGTCCACACAATACTAAATTCTTCCTGGTTAATACCTTCTACACTAATTTTACCCAATTTTCTTGCCTATCATCTCTACCTGTTTAACACTGTTTAGAGTTTAATTGCATGTAATTTTCTAACTCATTACCTGTTGCTATTACACCTCAGTAAACTTCTATCTCTTCCACACCCAACATTCTCTTTCACATTAACCTAATTCCTACTTCCCTATCTTCTAAAATACACATGTTCATTCCCTTCTCCATTCCAATATTTCAGCACTTTTCATTCTGAGGGTTAAATTTCTTGAGAATAAAGTTTTCTATGTGCTTATAATATAGATGTCTTATAAATCTATACTAAATAAATGAAAAATCTTATTATTTGAGCTGCAATTTGACATAATAAATACAACCAGTTACTAAATATCTATGAATGCACCTAAAATTCCCATTTCATTATTTACAAACTCTTCCACAGTAAAACTAGCTTTACCTTCGAGCATTAAAAGATTTTGTAAAAATCATTTTTTAAGATTGGTAATGCTTTGATTGGTAAGATCATAAATATTTTCTACAAGTTTTTCATTGCAAATGTGTAGTATTTCAGATATTTCACATGTTTTTTCAAGAATATCTATTTTGGTTAATCTGGGAATTTAAGTCCCTAAATAATACCATTACCAAGGTAATGTGTATTCTGAGTTCCAAACAATTAAAATACAAGTGAACTTTTCTTTGTGTGGTAAAATATTCATAACATAAAATTTACTATTGTAACCATTCTTAAGGTTAAAATTCAGTGACATTAAGTACATTCACATTATTGAGCAAACATCACCACTATCCATAACCAGAAATTTTCTATCATACCAAGCTGAAACTCCACACCTATTAATCAAAAGCTCCAAATTCCCCCTCCTCTAGCGCCTGGTAATCTACTTTCTGTCACTATGAATTTGACCATTCTAGGTACCTCATATAAGTGGAATCGCATAACATTTGTCCTTTTAGGTCTGCTTTATTTCACTTAGCCTAATGTTTTCTAAAATTATCCATGACGCAAGAAGTTCAAAATTTAATTCCTTTGTAAAACTAAATAATATTCCATTTCATGTAGGTACCACATTTTTTTATCCATTCATCCACTGATGGACATGTTGGTTGTTTCCACCTTTTGGATATTGTGAATAATGCTGCTACAAACACTGGTGTACCAATATCCATTTGATACTCTGCTTTCAATTCTTTTGGGTATATAACCAGAAATACAATAGCTGGATCATGTGGTAATTCTGTTTAATTTTTGAAGAACCACTATACCATTTTTCACAGCAGTTCAACAATTTTAAATTCCTACCAGCCATGCAGAAGTGTTCTAATTTGTCCATATCCTTGCCAACACTGTTTTTTTAATAAATAGCCTTTCTAATGGGTATGAAATGGTAACTCATTGTGGTTTTGATTTGCATTTGTCTAAGGACTGGTAATATAGAGCATATTTTCATATTCTAATTGGCCACCTGTATATTTTCTTTGGAGAATGTTTATTCAACATTTTTGCCCATTTTTTAATTGGGTTGTTTGGGAGTTTTTCTGTTGAGTTTTGGGAGTTCTTTATGTATTCTGGATATTAACCCCTTATCAGACATATGATTTAGAAATATTTTCCCATTCTGTGGATTTCCTTTTCACTCTCTTGACAGCGTCCTTTGATGCACAAAACTTTTAAATTTTAATGATGTCTAATTTTTTATTTTTCTTTCGTTACCTGTGTTTTTAGTATAATATCCAAGAAATCACTGCCAAATTCAATGTCTTGAAGCTTCTTCACTATGTTTCCTTTAAGAGTTTTACAGATTGAGCTCTTACATTCAGGTCTTTTATCAACACAGGTGAACTTTTAACCATCATCGTAACAGGAAGTAGAGTGCAACTTTGCACTAAGTTAAAATTATCAGTCCCATGGTTTGTTTTCTCCAAATTATGAAAAGCATTTGCTCTTAAGAATCAATATTTAACTCCTACTAGCATGTAAAAAATAGAAAGTAATGCAGATTCAAAATAGGAAAATAAGACGCTATTACTTCTTACAAAGTATGTTCTCTGACCATAAATAACCTAGAAATCAACAAAAGGAAGGTACCTGTGAAATCCCCCAAGTAATCAGAAATTGTAAAACACGTATCTAAGCAATTCACGGGTCAAGGCAGATGTCTTAAGGGGATTTACACATATTTTTAACTAAATGAAAATGTAAATACAACATATCAAAATTTGTAAGATACACCTAATGCAGTGCTAAGAGGAAAACTTACAGCATTAATTACACATATTAGAAAAGAAGGTCTTAAGTCAATAACCAAACCTTCCCTCTTAAGAAACTAAAAAGATAAGAAGTAATCCTAGAGTAAGCAGAAGGAAAGATATAATTGAGACAGAAATCAATGATATTGAAAACAGAGTAAAATCAATAAAAGTAGAAACTTTAAAATTGATAATTTTCCAGCCAGTCCAAGCACAAAGTACAAGAAGAGCTATCCCAATGGATCCCACAGATGCTAAAAGGATAATAAAGGAATACTATAAGCAAATCTCTGATAATAACGTTGACGAATTAAAAGAAATTGATGATTTCCTTGAAACATACAAACTACCAAAATTCACTGAAGTAGAAAGAGACAACTGGAATAGCCCTATATTTTTCAGGAAAGAGTTGAGCAGCCCTTCTGCTATCTTTTGGGGAGCCTGACTGCAGAGCTGGCCTTCAGCTGGCATGTAAAAACTTGGCCTTTGGGGTGTTCCCATGTAACATGGTTATTTTGCCTGTTTTGGGCACAAAACCCTGACATACCAGCTTAATCTAGGTCTTTTGTAGAAACACTGTGATTTATTATAAAGACCTGTTCTCTTTCTTGGAGTCAAGTATTTTACTAGTTATGGCTAGTCATGCAGGTACCATGTGCCTACATGACCAACCCTTAATAAAAAAACTCTTAAGTCTTAAGGGGGCTTTCTAGATAGAAACAATGCACATGCATTACTACAATTCACTGCTGGAAGAAGTGTGTTCTTTGTGCCTACCACTCTCAATAGGGAGAACTTTGGAAGCTTAAATCTAGATGCCTCCAGACTCTACTGGATTCTTTTTCCATTTTTTTTTTTTTTGTAGACATAGAAACCCAATTCTAACTTTCATACAAAAAAGGTAAGAAAACAAGAACTAGAGCCAAAAATGTTGAAAAAGAAGAACAAAAAGAATTCACTCTAAGACATTTTCTGACTTATTACAAAGCTACAGTCATCAAGACAGTGTGGTAATGGAGAAATGTTAGACTCAAAAATCAGTGGAACAGAATAGAAGGTGCAGAAATAAACCCAAAGAAATATAGTCAATTGACTGTTCACAAGGATGCAAAGTAATTCATTGGAGAAATGACAGACTTACTTGTCAACAAATAGTGCTAGAATAACAGGACACCCATATGCAGAAAAAATGAATATTGACCCATACTTTACAACTTATACAAATGTAATTCAAAATGAATCACAGACTTAAATATAAAACAGAAAAAAACCTATACAAAAAAACTACGAATCACTTAGAGAAAAAACTGAAGAAAATCTTTGTGACATTTGTTTATGTACAGAGTTCCTAGATATAATACCAAAACCATGATATATAAAAGAAAAAATGACCAATTGAATTTCATAAAAATTAAAAGCTTTTGCTCTGCCAAAGATGCTGTTGGAAAAATGAAAAGCTACATATTTCCATGGGAGAAAATATTTCAAATTACATATGAGACAAAGGACTTCTAAAGGACTGGTATCCAGAATGTATAAAAAGCTCTCCAAATAAAAAAAATAAGAAAAATTATCCAGTAAATAAAAAAGGAAAATGCTGAGCAGATACTTCACCAAGGAAGGTTTACAGATAGCAAATAAGCCATCAACATCATTAGTCACTAGGAAATGCAAAAGAAAATCATAGTATGACACATCTTCACACCTATTAGAATGGCTAAATCAAAAAAAGAGAAAAAACTGGCAATGCGAAGTGCCAAAGAGGATGTGGAAGAATTAGAACTCTCATACATTGGTCAGGCGTGGCTCTTGCCTGTAATCCCAGCACTTTGGGAGGCCAAGGTGGATAGATCACGAGGTCAGGAGATCGAGACCACCCTGGTCAACATGGTGAAACCCAGTCTCTACTAAAATACAAAAGATTAGCTGGGCATGGTGGAGCGCACCTGTAGTCCCAGCTACTTGGGAGGCTGAGGCAGGGGAATCACTTGAACCCAAGAGGCGGAGGTTGCAGTGAGCTGAAATCACGCCACTGCACTCCAGCCTGGTGACAGAGCAAGACTCCATCTCAAAAAAAAAAAAAAAGAACTCTCATACATTACTGATGGCAATGCGAAATACAAAGGACACTCTGGAAAAAAATTTGGCAGTTTCTAACAAAATTAAGTATATACGTACCATGCAATCTGGGAATTCTACTCCCAGGAATTTACCACTTAGAAACCACGTGATATCGTTTCTAAACTTTTTTAGCAACAAAAAAAGGAGTTGAAGAATAGCAGTTATTCTTTCCCAGATATAAGAATATTTCATTTAAATAGTTTCCTGACTAATATTCATATGTTAATCTTCCCTCATTTTCTGATTTACTATTTCATTCAGAGATTTACTTAGCATTATTCTTTTATTTTGCTTATAGTTTCTCTGTATTGCATTTTATTGTCTATCATGTAGATAAAACTGTAAGCAAACATTACATGCTCTAACTTAAGAAGGAAATAGTATATCTAGTCAAATGACATTTAACTCTTCTCTGTACTAAAAAGGCAAAATTACTAGTCTTTTTATTTTAGTAAAAATTCTAAAGGAATACAAACAACAGACACACAAAAAAAAAAAGGGAAAGGAAGACAGCACACAAAAAATGTTAATAGCATTTTGGAAGCTAGAAAGCACACCCGATGAAATAGAAACCTAAGCCCAGGGGGATTAACTCAGCAACAATCAAGAAGCTGTATGCCACAGAACTCTGACAAAGTTCGGGACCTGAAGGCAGGGATCCACGGTGGCACTGACAACCAAAACACATTGTAAATTGTTAAAGGAAACAGAACTCCAAATCCCTTTTCCAACCTCACTCAAGCCATGCCACTATTCCTTCACCACTCCTGCAAAACACTGAAGCTTTCATCTTTGGGGAAGTTACACCAGAGAAACGCTGTGTTTGTGAACAACACATCTGTGGGGGGGTGGGGGCCAAGGGGAAAGGGTTGATGATATATCATACTGAAAAGAAAAATCTACATACCAATTTATGAGAAAACACCCTCAAACCTTATACCAGATCCCTTCTGCTCAGCTGCAAAAGTATTTACAACCAGGCTTATAAACCCTAGACAAAAGACTAAAAGGTTCCTGTTTGGAGAAATGTTCAGTCTAAGAGAAACAAAATCTACAGTTAATTCTATCACTGAGGAATCCTGCACAAAAAAACAGCCAGATCTCTACCTGGTCATCCTACAATAAAGGTCTACCTCAAATACATTTTGATGCCTCGGTCTTAAGTATGAACAGGCATCAAAAATCACCAAAGAATAAGGAAAAGCCTCTGACATGAAAGATGGTGAGCAAAACAAAAAGGATAAAAAGGAAATCAGAAGCAGCAGAAAAATAAAGGGAGTAAAAGAAAACTTCATGCAATCATGACAAATATCTAAGGCAGACAGAATCTTACATCTATGAAAAGACCCCAGAGGCTTTTCTTTCAATGAAAAAAAAATGTAAAAGAAACATTAAGGCAATAAAAAAATAAAACAATAAAAAATAAAACAAAGACAATAAAAAAAGCTCTTACAAATTAAAATTTTGACTAGAAGAATAAAAAACTGTTAAAATTTTCCAGATAAAGTTGAGAATAATCTCCTAGAAAGTAAAACAAAAAAGTAACAAATGGAAAACAGGATAGAAAAGAAAGCTGAAGGACCACTTCAAGAAAACCAATAGCTGAATAACAGCAATTCCGGAAAGCTGAAAGATGGAAAAACAGAGGAAACAGGAGAAAAAAATTATCAAAGAAATAATTCAAAAAAATTTCCAAGAACTGAAAGATAACTATATCTAGCAAATTGATGGAAAAAACACCCATCTCACAGCACAGTATCACAAAATTTCAGAACACAACAGAAAAAAAGATCCTAAAAGCATCAAGTAAGGGGAAAAAAGGGTTTATAGAAAAGCTCATGGATCAGAAGGGCATAAGACTGCCTTTTTTTTTTTCTTTTGAGACAGAGTCTTGCTCAGTCACCCAGGCTGGAATACAGTAGTGCTATCATAGTTCACTGCAGCTTTGAACTCCTGGGCTCAAGCAAGTAGCTGGGACTACACATGAGTACTACCACACCAGCTATTTTTATTTTTTCATTTTTAGTAGAGACAGGGTTCTCGCTAAGTTGCTCAGGCTGGTCTCAAACTCCTGGGCCCAAGCAATCCTCCTTCCTCAGCCTCCCAGAGTGCTGGGATTACAGGTGTTAGCCACCGTTCCCAGCCAGGACTTCTCAACAGCAACAATACGAGCTAGAAAAGAGCAGAACAAAGACTTCAAATTTTTAAGGGAAAATGATTTGCAATATAAAACCTATTGTCAAATAATATGAAGTTTATATACAAATGATCAGAGATGTATGTGTATGTATGTGTTCCCAATCATTATTCTCGGCTTTAGAATTTATGTTATGTATATTCTTTCAACAATAGTTAACATCTAAATTATGTTTCTCTAAAACCAATTAGTCTCTTCTTTAAACTTATTCTAAATGACTAAGAAGAGAAGCTGCACACACACACACACACACACACACACACACACACACAGTGTTCGATGCCAGCAGAAAGCCAAAGTAAGACTGAAAATTTGCTGTAATTCCCAGGCACAGGTGAGTATAAAGAAATTTATAGCTGTCAATTTCCATCTGAACAGCAATCTAGTCACAGAATTCTTAAGTCCTAATAAAGAGTAAAGTAAAAATTGGAAAATTTAAATGAAAAGATAGGTATAACAGAAAAAAAGAAGGTATTTTCAAGTAGAAAAAGACATGCTTAAATAAAACACCTCTCTGATATCTACAGAACTGAATAATTTCTCAAAAAAATTCCAGTGCTAGTTTCATTCTACCATAAACAAAGGCCAGTGCTAGTTTCATTTTACCATAAACGAAAACCAGAGTAATTGAGTGAATTACTCCTTGCCTGATGATAAATGTCAGTATTTCTTCCACTAGGCTAGATGGTCTCCAAAGGTTTAGATATGAACTGTTCATAGTATAAAAGAACAGGGTCCCAAGATAAGAAAGGTCATCGATAAGAAAAAAAGAAAAAAAACATTATCTCAAATATTCAATTTCAATAAATCATGTTTAAATAAAGAAAAGGTCTTATAAATGGGGTGAGGGAGTGGAAATAAGAAAATAACCAGCCGACCAGAAGATGAAGATATGGTCAACTTTAGCTCCATGTTCCAAATTAAAACAAGAATGGATGAGAAAATACTGCAAATGTTTATTGATTCTCAACTATGTTCTACATATAATATTATAGACATCTCATTTAGCTCTCATCAACAACAAACATATTAGTCTCATTTGTAGAAAGAGAACTGTGCTGAAAATGGTTAAGCAGTTTGTCCAAGGTCACAGTTCATGAGAGAGAGGTAAACTGACTTAATTCTCCAGCTGAAGTCACTCTAATCCAAAAATGAGTAATGCACAATTTAAAAATGAAATGTTATACTTTTGCTTCAATATGTTTCTGATGCTGTGAAACCAATATTATTTCTATTAATGAAATAATATGATGAAACAACACAGATTCAGGGAAAATAGATATTTGCCAATTGTCTGTATGCTGCCCTTTAGCTCAGTTCCATTGAATAATTCACTCGTTTCCTATGATGTAACAAGCACTGTTCTGGCGCTGCAGTTCTGTCCAATAGAATTTCACATCCAGGAATGGCACAGTAGACACCTAAACATGTAAATTTGAAAGGGTTAAGAGTTCTAAGGTAAAATACAAACAGGCACCTGAAAAAAAAAAAGGATGCTGTCAGAAAACATCTATCAGAAGAGGTGATTCATGTGCAGGTTCTTGAAGTTTATTCATTCATTAAAAGAATATTTTCTACAAGCCTGTTATATGCCAGTCATATTTAGTGGTAGAGCAACAAGACAAATGTTAGTGAGTAGGGTCAGGGCTGTGATGAATAAAAGAAAATTAGAAATAATGTATCAGAACACAAGAAAAAACCCAAGAAAAAAGCATTCCTATGGATTATTCCTGGGAGGACTGGATTCAAAAACTAACAAGCATTAATGGAGACTAAAAATACAATATGTGAGCCTAACCATCTTCAGTGAGTTATTCATAGAGGGCTATGAGAGGATGACTTAATACTAACCTTACCAAAAAGTAGTTACCTAGCATGACATCGAAGCTAGAAAAAAAACAAAAAAAAGACTCATGTGTGACATGACATAGATTTTTAAACTCCTGAATAAAAATAAGTACTATAAACATATAAGTTTATTATTTCAAATAATAAACTAAAAATTTCTTATAAAAAACAAAGAATTAAAGAATTTCTCTCAATATACAAAGATTTCTTATAACTCAGTAGGGAAATACAAATATCTCAACACTTTTACATGGGTAAAGAATAGCAGATAATTTACAAAGAATTAGTCTGCCTGAAGTAAGGGCAGAGAGCTAGGCATCAAAAACCTATTTTTGTAGACAACAATGATCTGATAACTATCTAATTATCAAGCACTACTGGGCATTTTGAAGTGCCCTCCGAAGAAAACAGTGTAACTGAGCACAATTTTTAAATTGTAATTGATCCACTTCTCCATTTACCCCATTCCATCTCTAGCTCAGAATCAAAACAAATTATAAGCTGGGCCCAGTGGCTCATGGCTGTAATCCAAGAACTTTGGGAGGCTGAAGTGGGAGGATCACTTGATCCCAGTAGCTCGAGACCAGCCTGAGCAACCTAAGCAGAACCTTGTCTCTACATAAAACTTAAAAAATCAACTAAGCGTGGTCACACGTGCCTAGAGTCCTAGCTACTTGAGAGGCTGGAGCAGGAGAATCACTTGAGTCCAAAAGCTTCAGGTTACAGTGAGCTATGACTGTGCTACTACACCCGAGGCAACAGACCAAGACCCTGTCTCTAAAATAAATAAATAAAATGTTAAGTACTGGAGGAAAAAATACACACGTACACATATACGCATATATATATATATATATATATATACACACACACAGTACATATATAGAACCAAAAGTTATGTGGAAGCACCAGAACAAAAATACATACATATATACACACGTACACATGCACAGACACACACACATTCATATCTATACCTGTATCATTACTGATATGTGAAGCAATAGGCACCGAACAACAAACAAATTCTTTTGAAATGTACCTCATATGTTTATATTTTATATCTTTAAATGAGTATTACTACATTTATAATCAGCAATGGGACCCACTCTATTTGGCAACTGGGATAAAAGTCTGGGGCAGATAGTTACTAGCATTTTAGAGATATTTCTACTTTAATCAGAATTGAAATAGGAACCCAAGTTGTATTAAACCAACAAAGGGAGACTTCGACCATGAAACACTGACAAACACAGGATAGAAACAGCAGAAATTAGTAAACTTTAGAGGAGGCACACAATTTAAAAGCCATTTCCTTTTCTCTTGTACTAATACATGATTAACCACCTACTATTAGCAAGCTCAAATCTGTGCTCAGCAATTTAATACAAAGGACACTAAAATTTAAAACAGTCTATGTCCTCAAAGAAGTGTTAATCAGTAATGAGATAAAAACTAAAACTAAACACACACACACATTAGTATACAGAAAGGTCAAAGATTGGCAAAGATTCTAAGTGCAGAAGTTCAGAAAAAGTGACAGTTTTATTGTTCTGATAAGGAATAAATAAAATTACAGAAGAGAGCTGTAGTATCAGGTAAAATGCCTTCCATTGCAAGAAACAGAAAACGCTGAATCACATGCCTTATTTTTATCACATAAGTAATCCCAAAGCAGAGCGGACCAAGGCCTTTCCAACTCTAAAAAATTCCTTCCTCTGCTCCCCATTATCCAAGTTTCACTTACCCATGGTTTAAGTTACCTACAGTCAACTGCAGTCTCAAAACATTAAACAGAAAATTCCAGAAATAAACAATTCATAAGTTTTCAATTGTGTGCCATTCGGAGCAGCATAATGAAATCTCATGCCAACCTGCTGCATTCCCCTCTGGAATGAATTCTCCATTTGTCCAGCAGATCTACACTATATAGGCTATCTACCCATTAATCACTCAGCAGCTATATAGTTTATCAGATCAATTTGCTGTACTGCACCACTTGTGGGCAAATAATCCTTATATTACTTAATAACGGCCCCAAAGCATAAGAGTAGTGATGCTGGCATATTGCTATGATTGTACTATTTTATTAGTTGCTGCTAATCTCATACTATGCCTAATTAATTAAACTTTATCAAAGGTATATCTGTATGGGAAAAAACACTATATATATAGAGAGAGAGAGTTTGGTAGTATTTGAGATTTCAGGCATGCACTAAGGGTCTTGGAATATATTCCCCGGATAATGGGGGACTATGATATTGTCTTCTTTCTGACTAGCTCCTCTAAGGGCTATAATTAATTTTTACCATATTTATCATTATTTAAGTGCTTGCTCTGCACCAAGTATTATTCAAAGAACTTTATGTTCATTAATTTATTTCATTCTTAACAACAACCTATAATAGGTTTTTTTTTTTTTTTTTTTCAGTCAGGTTCTCGCTCTCTCTCACCCAGGCTGGAATGCGGTGGCAAAATCATAGCTCAATGAAGCTTTGAATTCCTGTACTCAAGCACTCCTGCCACCTCAGCTTCCCAAGTACCTGGGACTATAGGCAGGCATCACCATGCCCAGCAATGTTTTTTTAATTTTTGTAGAAATGGGGTCTCACTATGTTGCCCCAGTTAGTCTTGAACTCCTGGCCTCAGGTGATCCTCCCGCATCACCCTCCCAAAGTGGTTGGACTAAAAGCATGACCCATCAAACCCAGACTAGGTAGATACTATTATTGGCACCATGTTTCAACAGCTTTATTGAGACATAATTCACAAACCATAAATTCACTCATTCAATGGCTTTTAATATATTCGCAGATATGTGCAACTATCACCACAGTCAATTTGAGGACATTTTTATCACACAGAAAAAATAAAACTAGTGGCCGGGCATGGTGGCTCATGCCTATAATCCCAGCACTTTGGGAGGCCGAGGCGGGAAGATCACGAGGTCAGGAGATCGAGACCATCCTGGCTAACACGGTGAAACCCCGTCTCTACTAAAGATACAAAAAATTAACCGGGCGTGGTTGCGGGTGCCTGTAGTTCCAGCTACTCAGGAGGCTGAGGCAAGAGAATGGTGTGAACCCGGGAGGCGGGGCTTCCAGTGAGCCGAGTTTGCACCACTGCACTCCAGCCTGGGCGACAGTGCAAGACTCTGTCTCAAAAAATAAATAAATAAAAATAAAACTAGTATCCTTTAGCTGTCATTCTGTCATGGTCTGTTCAGCCTGCTATAGCAAAATGCCATAGACAGTAATTTATAAACAACAGAAATTTATTTCTCACCATTCTGGAGACTGGGAAGTCCTAAACCAAGACACCAGTACATTCATTGATCTGGTGAGGGCCTATTCCCCATGAATGATGATTTCTCTGTTTCCTCACATGGAGGAAGGGGTAAAGGCTCCCTCAAGCCTCTTTTATAAGGGTATTAATCTCATCGATGAGGGCAGAGCCCTCATTACCTAATCACCTCCTAAAAGCCCCATCTCTTCATACCACAACAGGAATGAGATTTCAACATGAATTCTGGAAGGACACAAACATCCTGACTACAGCACTCTCCACCCCCCACCCTCCCTCCACTAGTCTTCCTGAACCTCCACCACCACCACTCTAAGGAACCACAAATCTGCTTTCTGTTGGTATAAATTTCCCAATTATAGACTTTTATAGTAGTAAAATAATATAGTGACTGGCTTTTTTCATTTACCATAGTGTTTTCAAGCTTCATTCATGTTTTGGCATATGTCAGTACTTCCGTCCTTTTTGTGCCTGAATAATAATCTGTTATGTGGATATACCACATTTTGCTTATCCACTCACGCACTGATGAACATTTGGGATGTTTCAACCTTTTGGCTATTATGAATAATGTTGCTATAAACATTCAAGTACAAGTTTCTGTGCTGACATATGTCTTCAGTTTTCTTGAGTGCATACCCAGATGTAGAATTGCTAGGTCATGTCGTAATTCGACGTTTAATGGTTTGAGGAACTACTAGTTTGTTTCCCAAAGCAGCTGTACCATTTTACATTCTTACTAGCAGTGTATGAGGGTTCCAATTTTTCCACATCCTCACCAACACTTGTTGCTATCTGACTTTTTGATCCTATCCTAGCGAGTGTGAAGTGGTATCTCATTAAGGTTTTGATTTGCACTTCCCTAATGATTAATGACTATAATGGCTTTTTCCAAACGACTAATGTTCCATTTGAATATGAGCCCCATTTTTACCATAAGAAAAACTAAGGTACAGAGATATTAAATAAATTATCCAAGGTCACAAACCTACTAAGGGAAATGCTGAGATTTTCACCCAGGCACCCTGGCTCCATGCCCAGAATTTTACTATACTCCAGCAGCATTTCTAGGCATTTCATTCAATGCAAGAAGGATAGACATTTCCAGAGAGTCTGTTTTATCAGTGAGAAAACATTCTCAGAAGCCATTCAAACTTTTTAAATGTCATACATAGACTAGGTTTGGGTCACATGACCCTTCTTAAACCAATTACTGATAAGAAGAATACAGTCATCGTTGTTTCAGTCTGTTTTGTGCTACTATAACAGATTACCACAGACTGGGTAATTTATAATAAAAATTTATTGTCTCACAGTTCTGGAAGCTAGGAAGTCCAAGATCTGGTGAGGGCCTTCTTGCTGCGGCATCCCATAGGTGGAAGGTGAAAGGGCAAGAGAGAACAAGAGGGAGCCAAACTCACCCTTTTATAATGTCACAGTCCTACCCATGAGTGTGAAGCCCTGATGGCCTCATCACCTCTTAACCTTTTTCCCATGTGACCTGAGAATACTCACTGGAGGCGATTGTGGCTGCAGCATTTACCCTGAGATGACTTTGCCACAAAATACCTCATTTTTATTATTTTTGCATTGGTCTAATATATTGACTTTGGAAACAAAAAACATCATTCTATTTACAGCATTCTGTTTTTAATAGTGATATTTCCATTTACGAAACATAATAATTCTCGATCACGGAAAACCTCAAATCCCAGAAAACGTAGCATTCCTAGGCATGATGTTAACATCGTTCTTGAATAATTGTTAGCCAAAGATTCATTTATTGAATCCAATTTTTCTGAAATAGATGATTCTGACGAATCAGACAATTCTGATATTAGTTCTGTTTAGACACAACTCCAAGAAGAGTTTTTATATTTTATTTTCACATTGAAAATCAGATTTTCTTCAGCCTCAAAGAACATGTTTATGTAAAATTAAATGAGCGTTGTCAGCAAACTGCACTTTTCTAAATGGGAAAAGGGTTAAAAGTCCATTTTCTTCATTACAATGGCAATTAAATTTCAACATGAGTTTTAAAGGGGAAAAACATTCAAACCATAGCAACCATAATTGGCTGAGATTATTCAAGATTTCCAAGCAAAATCAGGGCTCTTCGAGAAAGGTAAATCTTGATCAGTCAAATCAATAGTATCTGCAACAGGTATAAACAAACAAAACTTTGTTTTCACTTTTTACACCATCTCAGAAATAAGAAAAGTTACCAGATTTAAAGAGTTATCATTCAGCTTCCATTGCGCTAGTGTTATTTGCATAAGTATGAGTAAATGGATAATTACAAGTCAGTCAGTAAAAGACTTCACAACAAAGGAAGCAACCATTTCAAAAAAGCAAACAAACAAAAATTTGCACTAGGTTGAAATCTGTCTATGGAAAACTAAGCCTTCACTATAGGAGCAAAGCATTAAGTAAAAAAATTTATTTGCACGTTTCCTAATCTTTGAAAACTTGAGTTATGTGGAATTTAAAGCTGAAAAACAGCAATTAATCATTAATAAAAAACATGATTTTAAGTTACAAGGCTTCAAAGTATCCCTTCCAATAAAATGTCACTTATATAACAAAAATTTTTGTTCATTTTAAAGTTTTTTGAGGCTTAGATAAGCTTGTCTTAAAAATGTAAAGTTTAATTTAAAATAATTTCAAGTACTATGTTACTCTAACAACTGTACTACCAACCAGATTTCATCAATCATATTTTAACCATAGTATTAGTTGATAATAGACAAATTTTTTCGGTACTTTTTATAATTTTATACTTGTAAATTAGTGTGTATGCTCCAAAAATGATGCAGTACACTTTAGCATTTGCTTGTTGGGAAGAGATGAGAAAATAAGATGCGTTTATCAGATCTTCCAATTGCGCACCAGAAATACTTTCAAAGTACCTATGTTGTAATTTCATTTTTAAAAAATTCTTTTCAATTGGGGGGGAGGGTGAATAAGTAATTACAAAGAATGGCTGCCTTTAGATAGAGGTTTATCATGTAATTATAATAATGATCATTTAAAAGGATCCAAAATGTCTCCACTAGTTTAAAGGGCTAGGCAGAGTTATTTTTAAAATCAAACGTATGTGCTTTTTCTGTTTATGTCTTTGGAAAGAACATTCTGTATAATGAAAAACATGACCAAATTTTTCACAGTACATCACTATAAAACCCTGTAATTGACTTTTGGGGTTGGTTTACTCTATATCTATTTTTGACCTCGTAGAAAACAGCAATGATGTGGTGAAAGGCCCAAAATTTAAGTCTCATTGCAGGATAAGACTCCATCCTGATTAGTATAGAAGTATCATATTTGTGCTGGGAAATGTGCCCATTCTAGTAGAGAAAACTTTAGTGCATAGGAACCACCTCTTTTCTAATCAAGCCATGTAAAAACTAGTAACTCTGGTGTCTAGTCTGGGCCTTGGATGGAATGTGGATGTTGTTTACACCGATCCCCTCCATTAAAGGCAGCATAATGTTGGTCTTCAAAACTGATGTTGGAAATGACAGGTTCATTGCAGTTAATCTGATGGAAAGTAACAATGTATGTCACAGGTAAATTATAAATTAACCTTTAAACATATAAATTATCATTAGATAGTTCTTTTTCTCTTGTGTTAACACAGATTAAATAAAGAACTTAATCTCCTTCTAAAAGCTTTGAATTCCGTTACTAAGGAACAAACTAATATGTTATTCCTAACAAAAAGCACTGTTCTTCATCGAAGTCTAAAATACCTCTGAATGGGTACTCCTGCTTTCACCAGTAAAATTTACATACTACCAAGTAAAATAAACTTATGTTACATGGTATAAAAATCAGCCCTGTAACACCTACCACAGATTTATCTCCTGTGAGTTGACTCAATCATTCCTTCTTTTCAGTAAATAAACTACATTCTACGCAGGGAACTGCAGGAAAGTTTTTCAGAGGCCAAGTCAAAGAATATGTTTCACATGGAAACTTCCAAATTGACAGCCTGCCCATTTTTGGTAGGTATTAAAGGGTCCTCAGCACTTTATGAATTAGTTGTGGTTTACCTAAATAATCATGGCCAAAGCTGCCACCGTCACTGCATTCAATTTATTCCTATCAAAAAAAATCAATGTACCTTTAAAAAAATTAACACATTTTCTAAAATTCAGGCTAAATAACAGCTTTCTAGCAGCATTGCTGATTGAATGATAATCATAATAAATCATTTTTAAAACAAGTATATTAAAATTAGTCCATTTTTATTAGTCTCTCATAACATAGATTATCTTTTAATCTCTACATTTTAACAAGTAAAATAATGAATTAACATTAACTACACAAGATTATTTAACAGCTTCCACCAACTTCTTGAGGAACAGTTATACAAAGATGTTTGAAGAATATCCTCTTTATGAAAAATAAAAAGCTCCTGAAAATCCTTACACGAATTGCCTATATAAAAGATCATCTCTGAACAATGAAGGAACTTCTTACCAAGCTAACAAGATAGGCAAATAAAATAAGGTAAACAAGTATGTGACAGCCTGAGCTATATTAGAAGTCACCAAGACGAAAATCACTGAAAGACTTTTGACCCAGCTGCGTCAGGTGTCCTGGTCCAATTCCCTGCAATAAATTCCTCATCTAAACAGATGAAACTGCCCACAGTATACTACTTGCACACCACCAGATAGGCCAGCTGATGTTTATAACTGAAAATAAAGCCAAGAATTAGAAGTATATTTTAAAATAATTTTTTTAAAACCCTACCAATCAAAACCAATCAAAATTTGCCCTGGAACAGGCAAATTCACAGCCAAATCCTACTAGACATACAAAGAAGAGCTAGTACCAATCCTAGTGAAATTATTCCAAAAAAACCAAAAATCAAGTGGGAACTCCTCCTTCAATCATTCTGTGACTCCAGCATCATTCTGATACCAAAACCTGCCAGAGACACAACAAAAAAAGAAAACTTCAGATCAATATCCCTGATGAACAGAGATGCACAAATTGTCAACAAAATACCAGCAAACTGAATCCAGAGGCACATCAAAAAGCTAACTGACAATGATAAAGTAGCCTTTATTCTTGTGATGCAAGGTTGGGTCAACATACGCAAATCGATAAATGTGATTCACCACACAAAAAGAATTAACAAAATCAGAAAAAAAAAACACATGATCATCTCCATAGATGTAGAAAAGGCTGTCAATAAAATTCAACATCCCTTCATGTTAAAAACTCTCACCAATGGCATCAAAGGAACATACCTCAAATAGTAAGAATCATCTATGGCAAACCCATAGCCATCATCATACTGGACAGGCAAAAGCTGGAAGCATTCTCCTTGAGAACTGGAAGAAGACAAAGATGCCACCACTCTCACCACATCTAGTCAACATAGTACTGAAAGTCCTAGCCAGAGCAATCAAGGAAAGAGAAGAAACAAAAGGCATTCAAATAAAAACAAAGGAAGTCAACCTATCTCTCTTCAAAAATGATATCACTCTATACCTAGAAAATCTCAGATTCTGCTAAAAGGCTCCTAGAACTGGTAAACAGGGTCAGTAAAGTTTCAGAATACAAAATCAACATAAAAAATCAGAAGCATTTCTATATACCAATAATGCCCAAGCTGAAAGCCAAATAAAAAATGCAATCCCACCTACAATACCCACAAATAGCATCAAATACCCAGGAATACAGCAAACCAAGGAGGTAAAAGATCTCTACAAGAATTACAAAACACTGCTGAAAGAAATCAGCGATGACATAAACAAATGGAAATATAGTCCATGCTTGTGGATAGCAAGAATCAATATTGTTAAAATGGCCATACTGCACAAGGCAATTTACAGATTCAATGCTATTCCTATCAAACCACCAATCTCACTCTTCACAGAATTTTTTAAACTATTCTAAAATTCTTATGGAACCAAAAAAGAGCCTAGACAGCCAAAGCAATTCTAAGCAAAAAGAAAAGCATATTACTGGCACAAAAACAGATACACAGACCAACAGAACAGAATAGAGAACCCAGAAATAAACCCAAGCACCTACAACCACCTGATCTTCAACAAAGTCAACAATAACAAGTAATGGGGAAAGGACTCCCCATTCAATGAACAGTATATGATAACTGGCTTACCATATGCAGAAGATTGAACCTGGACCCCTTCCTTTCACCACATACAAAAATCAACTCAAGATGGATTAAAGACTTAGATGTAAGACCTAAAACTACAAAAACTCTAGAAGAAAACCTAGCGTACCTATCTGGACATCAACCTTAGCACAGTTTATGGCCAAGTCCCCTAAAGCAATTGCAACAGAAACAAAAATTGACAAGTGGAATCTAATTAAACTTCTGCACAGCAGAAGAAATTATCTGTAGAGCAAACAATGTCTCCTACAAAATGGGAGAAAATATTGGCAAACTATGCATCCGACAAAGGTCTAATATACAGAATCTAGGAGGAACTTAATATGTGAAATACAACCCCATTAAAAAGTGGGCAAAAGACATGAACAGGAGCTTCTTAAAAGACAACATACAAACAGCCAACAAATATATGAGAAAATGCTCAACATCACTAATTATTAGATAAATGTAAATCAAAACCACAATAAGATACCATCTCACAACAGTCAGAATCGTTGTTATTAAAAAGTCAAAAAATAATAGATGTAGGTGAGGTTGCAGAAAAAAAGAAAGCTTACACACTGCTGGTGGGAATGTAAGTTCAGCCACTGTGGAAAGCAGTTTGGAGATTTCTCGAAGAAGTTAAAACAGAACCACCATTTGACCCAGCAATCCCACTACTGGATATATACCCAAGGGAAAATAAATCATTCCACCAGATAGACACTGGCACACATATGTTCAGCACAGCAGGGTTCATAACTGCAAAGACATGGAATCAACCTAGATGCCCATCAAGAGTGGCCTGGATAAAGAAAATGTGGTACATACACACCATGGAATACCACACAGCAATAAAAAGAACGAATTATGTCCTTTGCAGAAATACGGATGCAGCTGAAGGCCATTGTTCTAAGCAAATTAACAAAGGAACAGTGAACCAAATACCATATGTTCTCATCTAAAAGTGGGAGCTAAACATTAGGCAGACATGGATATAAAGATGGCAACAACAGAAGGTGGAAACTTCTAGAGGGTGGGTGAGGGAGTTGGGTATGGGTTGAAAAACTACATATTGAGTACTACGTTTACTACCTGGGTGATGAGATAATTCGTACACCAAACCTCAGTAACATGCAATTTACCCACGTAACAAACCTGAACATGCACCCCTGAATCTAAAATAAAATTGGAGGAAAAAGGCTATCATTTGAAAAGCTACAGAAATGAACAAATGTAAAAAACGGACTTGCTGCATGATGATAAAGGGAATGCCATTCTTGTATCCCTACAGTCTCAAATCCAACAAAAGAAACAAACATAGTCCCTTCTCACCCCCCAAAAATGTGCTTTTTCTTGCCATAAAATCGTAACCATCACACAAAGGCACCTTGGTGATTTCATAACATTGTATATTATAGTCCATTTTCTATTAAAAATACCACTAAAGTAAATTTTTAGGAAAATTATGTTACCTGATCAGTAACTTGTACTTAAACATCGATTATGTACATCATTTGAATACCTTCCAGAGGATCGATTCTCCAACATAAAATTGAAAGAAAACCAGATCCAATTAAATAAGCAAATTCAATTTACAGAAAAAAATTACTTGTTTCATTAAGTCAAACATTGTGGTGGTACACCAGAGAAGTAGAAATCTATTAGCTATGAATTAATTAATGAAAAAGAAATGAAAACACTTATTTTTTAAAAAATTTACATAAGCATTATAAAACAGAAATGACAAAGTGCATTTAAAAAACTGATTGGATCTTGAAATCTGTATTTTTTAGAAACACCCAGAATAAGATTTCAGAAGAAGTATTTTTATATACATTTTTAATTGTTGTGGTGTAAAAATTGTTGTGGGTAAAAGTTCACCAGCCAGTCATTTTTCTTTCATTTTCTAACTTCCTCAAGAAAACTGGCTGGGCACGGTGGCTCACGCCTGTAATCCTAGCACTTTGAGAGGCTGAGGCAGGTGGATCACTTGAGATCAGGAGTTCAAGACCAGCCTGGCCAACATGGTGAAACAATGTCTCTACTTAGAGTACAAAAATTAGCCAGGCATGGTGGTGCACACCTGTAGTCATTAAGATTTAATGAACATTGGTTATAAGGTTCCTGTTGTTTAACTTAATAAACAAAGCACAACAGTTCATCAGCTATACCAACCCTAAACTGTCTAGCCCTGCACTTCTTGTGAGGCAGGATAAAATAAATAAAACATCACTTACTTAAGTCACTATTTGTTATGTTTTCATTACAACAAGTCTAATATGAGCCTAACTCTTATAATATTTGCTACCAAGAAAGGAAGGGAGGGAAAGAAAGAGAAAAGAAAGAAGGGAGGAAGGAAGGAGAGGAAAGAGACAAATGAAGACAAGTAGGGAGACGAGCAAAATTTAGAAAACATGAGAACTAGTTTAAAGAAAAGAGAAACTATTTTTAAGTGAGAGAAGGCAAAACATATCCGAACAAATGTAAAAAGGATAAACATCTATTAAAGGAAAAAAATCACTTTAATGAGATTAATTTGAACTGAAATTTCCCCTATGAAGTATTGGAGTGAGAAGACAACAGCTCTAGTTACAATGAATTTTCCTTGATATACACACAATTATTTCAAATCCAGTGCATTTCCTCAAGAAAATCTTAATTATTCAGATTAAAGCAATATTTTTGGAAATGAATGAAATACATACAATAGAAAAGACCTCTCAATAGGACACCTAATATTATCAGTGTATTTTAAATGATCCTCAATTTTAATAAAACCGTACTAAACATAATTGAAAATTTTTCTTAGGTAAGACCTTATGTCCTTTCCACATACTTTCAATTCTACTTTGTTATATCACAAAAGAAACCTTGTATATTTCATTCTTAGTTTTTCTAAGTTGTTGACAGATGGAGAATGTTTAACTGAACTTTGTCCTGTCAAACAGAATCAACTACTAATTGTTTTGGCTAATGATATTTAGCATGAGTCTAGTCCGGCTAGGTCTTAAATAACTTTCAAAAGTTTTTTAACCTTCGTCACTTCCTGGGATATACATCTTAGCAATCACAACCTTGAGCTAAGCCAAGAAAAGACTGCACATTGAGCAACACTGGTGATATATTTAAATACATTAAGGTTAAAATCTAGTACTTTTGAAAAATCCTTAAATATATAAGGCACACCAAAGTAGGGTTTTTACTTTTACCTTTAGAAATAAATCTGCAGAAAAAGTACTAACAGTATTACATGGCCAAGAAAAAATATCACGTAAAATTAGTGTGTTCCCTGCAGCATTCCAACAAAAATTATGCCATTTGGATAGAGGTACTGAATATATTATGCAAGCAAGAATGTTATGTTTGACCAATTAATCTCCTTAAAGTAGTTAAAAAGATCACACTATAACAATAAAATAGATGTTTGAGAAGATAAAATATATCAAAATGTATCTACCAAAAAGTGATCAAAAAGAAACTCATTCATATCTTTTGCCCAAATATAAGTCACCTTTCACAGAATTAATGTTCAGAAACAGTTGCCTCACATTAGAATCCTAACAAAGATTCTCATATTACACAGTACCACCACGATTTTTTATTTTTAATCAAAAAGTAACATTTGAGAAAAATACACTAGCCTGAATTGACCTCAATCAGTTGGAAGCTTATAGAGTTATAGCTTGAAAACTTATAAACGTAACCTGACAATTTTTTTTTTAAGAAAGAGAAAAGCCACAAGGAAATTCAAAATGGATTTAGCCGTTATTCCCGGGAGAATTACTTTACAATTCCAAATGCTAGATGTTACTGTAAAAATTTTTTTTAAAAATCTAGAAACTTCAAAAGAAATAAAATACTTACAACATGGACATCATAAATAATGAGTGCTTAGGACTTGGTAAAAATTTCTAATGATTTCGTCAAAGTGATACTTAACCTCAAACAACCAAGAAGAAATAAAAATCATATACCATGGAAAACTCAGTTGATATCTTAAAAAATATTTCTAGGATTGATGAATACACTTAAGTCAAATGCATGTAACAATATGAAAAGACTCAAGAAATTTAAATAGAAAAATAGTATATTTAAATTAACATTTATATGATTTGAATGTATATTAAATTATTAAATATTATGAATAGACATTTGATGACATCTATATCCCTAATAATTTTCACATTCAACTAAGTAAACAACTTTTTAAAATCTTCTCATCTGATAAACAGAAATCTGCCTTATATTCAGAGACACTATATTCAGTCATATATAAAAACTCTGAGGCATAAAATGAAAAATATTTTTTCACATATTTACAGAGGTAGCCATTAAGGAACATCTTCTTTACAAATTATGTTGGCATATTCAATAAATGAGTACAGCTTAAGCATTCCTAACCTGAACATCCAGAATGCTCCAAAATCCAAAAGTTTTTGAGCACCAGCATGGTATCTACAAGGGGAAAATTCCACAACTGACCTCATGTGACAGGTTACAGTTTACATAGTCAAAACTGTTCAGCAAACAAAATTATTAAAATTATGGTATAAATTTACCTTCAGCCTATAAGTATAAGGTATATACGAAACATAAATGAATTTCATGTTTAGACTTGGGTCCCATCCTCAAGGTATCTCATTATATATACACAAGTATTCCAAAATATGAAAAACAAACTCAAAATCCAAAATACTTCTGGTCCCAAGTATTTTGGATATGAGATACTCAACCTGTATTATTGAAAAGGCTGACCATGCCACACATATCTCCGATTTTAATTTATATAACGGATTTAGAGAATACGCATTTTAAGACCTAAAATTCATGCCCTAATTAAGGAGTTAACAAGGACATCTAAAATCCCTTACTTCTTCAATCTATTCCTTTTATAGAGTAAAAAGGAAAATATTTAATTCTCTCTCCCATATTCATACATAAAAATATGCACACATTTCTGCACATGCATACAAGTGCAATGTTTTTATTGCAAGCCTTAAAATGATCCCAATGTTGTCTGCCAGGGCAGTAAACTGAAAGTTATTGAATTAAAAAATATATTTGAAAATAGTTGAGATATTAAGAAATTATTTTAAAAACTTGGCTAATATTCAATTTCTTAGTGTTATTCTTCAGTGCCTAATACCTATCTCCTTTGAACTCTCACACTACGATAGATTACAATATACACCATCTACATCCAATATATTGCACTTAGCAGAGTTACTTCTCTGCCTCTTGACTTTAAATTGGCCAATGATAAATAGGCAGTAGTGACAAAATGTGCCAGTTAAGAGCCTAGGCCTTACAAGGACTTAAGAGGCCCTCTGGAGACACCACCATCACCAAAAGAAAAAGAAAAAAAGCATGACCTAGGTTGCCCCCTAATCCAAAAGTAAAGATGAAAGTCATGGGGAGTAGCACCAACCCAGCCTACCCACACATCTGCAATGCGAGGCAGAGCTGCCAGCTCACATACAAATAATTGTTGCCACTGAGCTACCCATTATTTGCTATGCAACAATAGTAAAAAGAGTTATAGGTACATTATTCTCATTGACATTAAGGTTGAAACATCAACAGTATACAACAATATAAAATTAGTTCTCTTTCCATAGAATGAAAGGCCTTGATATTCAAAGTTAAAAAACAAATGAAATCATTAAGGTAAACACATCAATGGAAACAATTAGTTCCTTCTTTTATCTGGAATACATATATGCAATCATAGTCCTGCTGCTATGACATGACAGACTCAGAGACCCAAATAATTTATATCTTGTAATTACAATTCACACTTTTAGAAATTAAAAAGGGGTGCGTGTGGAACTCTGAAATTAATGGCAAATCCTCCAAAACATAAAAATGCCATCAAACTTGAATGTCAAATATTTTTCCACAGCTTAGCACCTAGATACATGATTTACAGATCTGCCTAAATAGAGTAAAAACAACAACAAAAAACATGATTCTCCATAAAAGCACAACAGAAAATCCTTAAAATATTTTTTAATGAACGATTCGGATAAATTGGAGATCATTTAAAATACAATCTCCAAAACATAATCAGGACATTCTTATATACATCAACTGACATGAATTTTTATTCTCACTGTAAGCAATTATACAAGTGTATAGTATACCTACTTGTAAAAAGGGTCTAAAGTAAACTACAGCAGAGGCACACAGAAAACAAAAACCATAACTATTCAACAAAACTAAATGTTAGATAACTAAGAAGAATGTGTACACATAGAAAACAAAAACCATAACTATTCAACAAAACTAAATGTTAGATAACTAAGAAGAATGTGTGATAGTTTCTGAAAGAAACTTATTTCAGATAACCTGACAAATTGAATATGGATTTTTACTCTGAACTTCATCCTAGTCAAAATTATTAAAGATTTAATGAATATATTGGTTAAAATGTTCCTACTGCTTAACCTAATAAAATGAAGCACAACAATTCATCAGGAAAATGTAACTTTTTTCCTGTCTTCAAAAAGATGGTGTCATGCAGAGCTTTATGAAAGAGAGACATGAACATTATAACTGAAGGTATTGTTCTGGAAAGTCAATCACCTAGAAAGCCAAATAAGTAAAGCTTGGGTATATCATACTCCAATCACCACAGCTAGTGAAAAGAAAGAAATTTGAGCAGCACATACTAAAATATGTTTCAGAGAAGGATAACGGCAAAACATGGTAACAGGTATCGTCAAATCAAATGGATACTGAATGAACTAAATTTGGGAAACCCTTAGTTGAACAAAATTAAATAGTTTCCTTACTGTAGGACTATTTGGAGCCTTTAATATGGTACCTACACTGTTAAGTACAAATAATACCACATTCCTCATTTGTTTAACACCATTTTATCAAGAAGCATCTGAAGGAAAGCCTTATTTAGAACATATTTTAGAAAACGCTAAAGAAACAATTACTTCCTCAGACTATACCATTTTAATCATCAAAATTATTAGTACTGTTGTCTCACCATGACAACTACAATTTGAGAGTCTACTAAGCTCTGAGTATTAGGCACGCACTTTATCTCTACTTAAACAGAATCATTTGTAAATCTCTCAAAGTATTATCCCCTCAACCGACATTTGAATGGTTAGGAAAGACAATTCCCTCTACAGAGATCCCTTCCACAGTCTGACAGGTAAACAACTAGTCAATCTTCAAGCTTCACAATATCTTTAAGCTATTGCACTTACCACGTTATCAATTTAATTGTTTGCTTTATACACTTGCCTCCCATATGAGACAGATGTTTAAAGCGCAAGGGTTATTGATCATTTAACAATTTTATTGAGATATAACTCACATACCATAAAATCCATCCACTGAAATTATACCATTCAACAGTTTTTAGTATATTCATAGTTGTGCAACCATCAACACAATCTAATTTCAGAACATTTTCATCACTCCAAAAACAAACCCTGTCCTTTAACAGTCATTCCTCTATCCTGACCCTACTCACTCCCTGCTCCCAGCCCTAGGCAACCACGGATCTATCCTGTTTCTATAGATTTGCCTATTCTAGATATTACAAATAAGTGAAATCATGCAATACGTGGTATTTATGACTGGCTTCTTCAACATAATGTTTTTAAGTTCATATGAAGGGACTTCATATGACAAGTTAATGGAAAATGTAATTGAAAGATAAAAATAAAAGAATATAAACCTTATGTTCAACATAAGCTCCATCAAGGTCAAGACACTTGTAAATGATGATACCAGCCACTTATTACTCTATCCCTAAAGAACTGAGAGTCCTGGGAATTTAGCCATGTCAGTGCAGTCTTTTTTTATACACTATTAACTATATTAAAAAAAAAAGTGGTTGACAGATATGGTTTGGCTGTGTCCCCACCTAAGTCTCATCTTTAATTCCCAGGTGTTGTGGGAGGCACCCAGTGGGAGGTGACTGAATCATGGGGGGAGGACTTTCCTATGCTGTTCTCGCGGTAGTACATAAGTCTCACGAGATCTGACGGTTTGATAAGGGGAAACCTGTTTTGCTTAGCTCTCATTCTCTCTTAGCCTGCAGCCAACCATGTAGCACGGGACTTGCTCCTCCTTGCCTTCTGCCATAATTGTGAGGGTTCCTCAGCCACGTGGAACTGTAAGTCTAATTAAACCTCTTTCTTTTGTAAATTGCCCAGTCTGGAGTATGTCCTTATCAGCAGTGTGAAAATGGACTAATACAGTAAACTGGTACCACCAGAGTGGGGCACTGCTGAAAAGATACCTGAAAATGTGAAAGCAACTTTGGAACTGAGTAACAGGCAGAGGCTGGAACAATTTGGAGGGCTCAGAAAGACAGGAAAATGTAGGAAAGCTTGGAACTCCCTAGAGACTTGTTAAATGGCTTTGGCCAAAATACTGATAATGATATGAACAATGAACTCCAGGCTGAAGTGGTCTCAGATGGAGATGGGGAACTTTATGGGAACTGAAGCAAAGGTGACTCTTATGTTTCAGCAAAGAGATTAGTGGCATCTTGCCCCTGCCCTAGAAATTTGTGGAACTTTGAACTTGAGAGAGATAATTTAGGGTATCTGACAGAAGATATTTCTAAGCAGCAAAGCATTCAAGAGGTGACCTGGGTGCTGTTAAAGGCATTCCATTTTAAAAGGGAAATAGAGCATAAAAGTTTGGAAAATGTGCAGCCTGACAATGCGACTGAAAAGAAAATCCCATTTTCTGGGGAGAAATTCAAGCCAGCTGCAGAAATTTGCATAAGTAACAAGGAGCTACATGTTAATCCCCAAGATAATGAGCAAAATGTCTCCAGGGAATGTCAGAGGCCTTCACGGAATCCCCTGCCATTACAGTTCCAGAGGCCTAGGAGGAAAAAATGGTTTCCTGGGCCAGGCCCAGGGTCCCCGCGGTGTGTGCAGTCTAGGGACTTGGTGTCCTACGTGCCAGGTGCTCCAGACATGACTAAAAGAGGCCAAGGTATAGCTCGGGCTGTGGCTTTAGAGGGTGGAAGCCCCAAGTCTTGGCAGCTTCCACGTGGTGTTGAGCCTGTGGGTGCACAGAAGTCAAGAACTGAAGCCTGTGAGCCTCCACCTAGATTTCAGAGGATGCATGGTAATGCCTGGATACCCACGCTGAAGTTTGCAGTAGGGGCAGGGCCCTCATGGAGAACCTTTGCTCAGGCAATGTGAAAGGAAAATGTGTGGTTGGAGCCTCCACACAGAGTACCTACTGCGGCACTCCTTGGTGGAGCTGTGAGAAGAGGGCCACCATCCTCTAGACCCCAGTATGACAGATGCATGGACACCTTGCATTGTCCATCTGGAAAACCTGCAGACACTCAATTCCACCCCATGAAAGCAGCTGGGAGGGAGGCTGTACCCTGCAAACAGAGGGGCAAAGCTGCCCAAGACCATGGGAACCCACCTCTTGCATCAGTGTGACCTGGATGTGAGACATGGGGTCAAAGGAAATCATTTTGGAGCATTAAGATTTGATGGCCCCACTGGATTTCAGACTTGCACAGGGCCTGTAGCCCCTTTGTTTTGGCCAATTTCTCCCATTTGGAATGGCTGTATTTACCCAATGATGTACTCCCATTGTATCTAGGAAGTAACAAACTTGCTTTTGATTTGACAGGCTCATAGGCAGAAAGGACTTGCCTTGTCTCAGATGAGACTTGGGACTGTGGACTTTTGAGTTAATGCTGAAATGAGTTAAGACTTTGGGAGACTGTCGGGAAGGCATGTTTGGTTTTGAAATGTGAGGACATGAGATTTGGGAGGGGCTAGGGATGAAATGATATGGTTTGGCTGTGTCCCCACCCAAACCTCATCTTGAATTCCCACAGGTTGTGGGAGGGACAAGTGGGAGGTGACTGAATCATGGGGGCAGGTTTTTCCCATGCTGTTCTTGTGATAGTGAGTAAGTGTCACGAGATCTGATGGTTTGATAAAGGAAACCCGTTTAACTTGGCTCTCATTGTTTCTTTGCCTGCTGCCATAATTGTGAGGCTTCCCCGGCCATGTGGAACTGTTAGTCCAATTAAACCTCTGTCTTTTGTAAATTGTCCAGTCTCGGATATATCTTTATCAACAGCGTGAAAATGGGCTAATACATTGACCTTTAAAGACAGTTTAAGATTAGTAAAGAAAAAGAAGTCAGAAGAAGCTGAATCAGGACTGTAAGGTGGATGCCTAATGATATCTCATGGAAACTCTCACAAAATTGCTCTTGATTGGAGGAAAGACAGGAGTACCGTCCTGGTGGAGAAGGATTCTAGCTTTACCAGGCATTTTTTTTTCTGCTAAAGCTTTGGCTGACTTTCTCAAAACACTCTAATAATAAGATGTTATCATTCTTTGGCCCTCCAGAAAGTCAACAAGCAAAACGCCTCAAGCATCCCCAAAAAAACTGTTGCCATGACTTCTGCTCTTGACCAGTCTGCTTTTGCTTTGCCTGGACCACTTTTACCTCTTGGTAGCCATGGTTTTTATTGTTCTTTGTCTTTAGGATCATACTAGTAAATACACATTTCAACTCCTGTTACAATTCTTTGAAGAAATGCTTTGAGATCTTGAGCCCATTTGTTTGAAATTTCCACTGAAAGCTCTGTTCTTGTCTGCAGCTGATCTGGGTGCAGCAACCTTGGCACCCATCGGGTGGAAAGTTTGCTCAACTTTAATTTTTCAGTCAGAATTGTATAAGGTGAACCAATTGAGATATCTATGGTATTGGCCAGTTTCTGCTGTTGTCAATCCTCTTCGATAAGGCTACAAACAAGATACATTTTTTCCTTGAAAATTGATGTGGATGGTCCGCTGCTGTGGGTTTCACAGCATCGCCTCATCCCTTCATGAAATGAGACGTTCATTTGTAAACTGCTGATCTCTTGGGGCACTGTCGTCCTCATATACTTCTTGTGAAGCATCAGTGATTTCACCATTCTACCACCCAAGCTTCCCCATAAATTTGATATTAGTTCTTGCTTCAACTTGGGCAGAATTCATGTTGCTCTTTTCAAATGGATGTCTTATCCATCTTAGTCCCTCAAACTAGATCCTGTCATACATGTTATAACAAGTTAGTAAGAGTTTATTTTGTTGTTTAAAAAAAATGTGAAACCCAGGCATAGTATTTCATAATTCACATTTTCCACAAACTTTTAAAAGACCCCTTGTATATCAGTAATTAATTCCTTTTTATTATCAAATAACAATATTTAATTGTATGACTCCTCCACATTTGCTATCCATTCATCAGGTAACAAATATTTGGGTCATTTTTATTTTTTGACTATTAGAAATAATGCTGCTACAAACATCATGTACAAATTTTGTGTGGACTTATATTTTCATTTCTCTTCATTCTGCTTCACTAGGAGTGAATCTGCTCGATCACGTGGGAAATCTGTATTCATTTAACCTCTAGAAAAACTGCTAAAAATGTTTTCCAAACTAGCCACACCATAGCACATTCCCATCAACATTGTAAGGTTTCAATCTCTCCACATCATCACATTTGTTATCTTTTTGATCATAGCTATCCTAGTGGGTGTGAAGTAGTCATCATTGTTGTTTTGATTTGCCAATAGCTAATGACATTGAGCATCTTTTCATGTGTTTATTTGGCCATTTGTAAATCTTCTTTGGAGAAAAGTCTATTCAGATCCTTTGCCCATTTTTTAATTGTAATGTCTTTTTAATTGTTGACTTGTAAGAGGTTCTTCACAGATACAAGTAACTTACAAATTTGTGATTTTCAGAAATTTTCTCCCATTGAGTGAACTGTGCTTTTATCGTCTTGAAAGTGTCCTTAAAATACAAAAACTTTTAATTACAATGATGTCCAATTTACCTTTTTTCCTTTGTTAGCTTGTTATATCTAAGAATGCTTTGCCAAACTCAAGGTCATTGTGTTATATCTAAGAGTGTTTTGCCAAACTCAAGGTCATGAACATTTACTCCTATATTTCTAAACATTTTATAGTTTGAGCTCTTATATTTAGATCTATGATCCACTTTAATATCTATGTACGGCATGAAGAAGAGGTCCAAATTATTTCATGTTGTTCCAGCACCATTCCTTGAAATAGCTATTCTTTCCCTTTTGAATTATTTCAGAACCTTTATCAAAAATCAGTTGATTAGCTGGGAACTGCAGCTCATGCCTGTAATCGCAGCACTCTGGGAGGCTGAGGCAGGTGGATGGCTTGAGCCCAGGAGTTTGAGACCAGTCTGGGCAACACGGTGAAACCCTGTCTGTATTAAAAATATTTTTAAAATTTGCCAGGTGTGGTGTTGTATGCCTGTACTCCCAGCTACTTTGGAGGCTGAGGTGGGAGCATCACCTGAGCCCAGGAGGTCGAGACTGCAGTGAGCCAAACATGCACTGTGGCCTGGGTGACAGAGCAAAACCCTGTTTCAAAAAAAGAAAGAAAAGGTGTTGGACATTGTCAAGTATTAATTTTTGTATGTATCTATTGAGTTGATGCTTTGATTTTTTTCTTTTTTTCTATTAATGAGGCATATTATATTAATTGATTTTTGGATGCTGAACCAACTTTGCATTCCTGAGATAAATTTCCCTGAAACTTGGTATATATGTTTTATATGCTGCTATTATTTTGTTGAGAATTTTTGTACCTATATTCATAAGCGATAGTAGTGTACAGCTTTCTTTTCTTGCAATTACTGTTTTTTATATCACAGTAATATTAACATCACAAAATAAACTGGGAGATGAAAAAGTAGTGGGCTTGGTGACTGGGAACATGAGGGAGGATTCTAAGATGAAGGCAATCTTCTATTTCTTGGTCTGCTTACTTGTTTCATGACTATGTTCAGTTTTTCAATATTCATTCATCTATAATATTCTTATAATCTCTGTTATTTTTGAGATGTATGTTTTACTTTACCATTTTTTTAGAAAAAGAAAAAATCATTATGACATATTTCTAAATTTGTTCTTAAAAGTGTTCTTTTTAAAATTATCTGTTACACATTGTGTAAAATTATTGTCAGTATTCATCTAAAGTATCACGTCTTGAAAGACAGGAAAAGAATGAAGAACTGTCACAGATTTGAAGAGACTAAGAAGATAGAATATTTAAATGTAATGTGAAATGACAGACTGATTCCTGGAACAGGAAAATTCCACTGGAGGAAAAACTGGTGAAATTTAAATAAGGCCTGTAATTTAGTTAATAGTATGATAAAACATAGCATTTCCTAGTTCTCATATTTATACTTTGGTTAGGTAAGTTGTTAATATTAGGGGAAGTTGGGTGAAGAGAATACTTAAATTCTCCACTCTATTGTTGCAACTTTTTAGAATGACATAAATTATTTAAAAATAAAAAGGTTTTAAAAATATTACCTTGTGACTGAATAATACATTTATCTAGCTCAATATTCAATAGGTTAAAAAATTAAAAAAGAAACACACACTGAAAAGTCTCCCTCCTATTATTGTCTACTAACTATCTAGTTCCCTTACTGAAGAACAACCAGTATTATCTTTTTTCTATTCCCTTCCAGAGATTATTTTTTCTAATGTACCATAAGAAAATACATACCTGTCAGGTATGTATATTATTTTCCCCCAGAAACAGCTTTTCATAAAACAATTCCAGTCGCAGAATTTATGCTAACAACGCACTAAAATATTCTGCTATTTACTGCATTACTGTTTATTTTACCAAAAATGTCAACATACATAAACATAAAAGCCTAAAAAGTTTACTAAAAACAGTGTTTGAATAAACACACTCTGCAGACATATAAATAGAATAATATAGCACAACTAAATGGAGTTTATATATTAGTACCATTTAACATTTCAAAATTAATGTAAAAAACTACACAGCTTTTCAAAATTATAATATGAAAATAGAAACCTCTCCTATAAAAACTTATACAATATAATCAAATACTATATAAAGAAAAAAGTTATGCACTAAAATAGTTATTGTTCATTTGCTTTTGTTGCTTTAGGGTCTGTGAGATAGATTACAATAATGGCCCCAATTCTTCACCCCTCCCCATATCTGTATCTTTTTCCATGTGGTTTTGCAATTTTTGCAATTCTTTTCATTTAAAGAGTCAGCGTATATTTCCCACTCATTGAACCCTAGCTGATTTTCTGATTTACTCTGGCCAATAGATTAAAGTGATGGCACACCAGCTACAAGATTAGGCTTTAAAATGTATTGCATTTTTTGGTCTTTATTACATCTCTCCCATTATGAGGAGAACACACCTGCTACTTGATGAGAGAGTAAAACCAAGTCAAACAGTTCCTCCAATTAAGGCCATCCAAAATCAGCAGAGCTGCCTAGCTGACCATCATACACACATGACCAATGAGGACTTAACTGTTGCATGCCACAGAGACTTTGAACTGCTTTGTGATATTGCATTACTGTAGCAATAGATAACTGATACAAGATACTTAACTATATACTACTTAGGACACTGGTCACCAGAAACTACCTTTTAATTACAATACTTCCAAAGATAAAACACATTTCTATTTTCTATAAGCTTTTCTTATGATTTTATATTACATAAAACTCCTTATCCAATGTAAACTCAATATATTAAACCATTTAATCTAATGTAACATTACTTAATAATCACTTATTCTTGCTTTGTGATGCTTATACTAAATTCTTAAATGCAACTGAATTCATTTTGGGACTCTCCATTTTATTCCACTAATGTCAAATTATTATTATTAGTTAAGATAAATTCTAATACTTCATAGAAATACTTTTCTCTATTAGAAGTGTCCAAATTATATATAGCTATTTTTATGTTACTGCATAAAATATTACAGTTATTTTTCCTTTACAAAGAAAAGGAGGTTTAGATTAGAATTATTATCTAGGATTAGCACTTCTAATATGTCTGGAATCCTCAGGCTACAATAAACGTACAGGTTTATATGGAATATATCCCAGAAGAAAAGAGAATTTTTTTTGTACCAGTGAAAATAGATGACAATCAGTGGGATGGATACAATCTTTATCTCTACTAGCCATAAACTTTCCACCACAAATGGATCTGGAGGGCCACAGACCCTCCAAAACTGTAGACATATGGTGAAGCAACAGGCAGGCATTCAAGTAGGTGGGAATTATTACATGACTCTGAATAAAGCATTACCCTATAGGGACTCAGAAGAATACAATTTTTGGTGTAACTCCATATTCTCTGTGTCAGGATTTACACACACGCAATTCCAAACATGACTTGGATCTCCGATTAGAAGTGATAGACTGGATAAAGAAAATGTGGCACATAAGGAAAATTACCTCCTTATGACAACTAGCTAATTAACTAGCTTACAAAGCCACTAACAGTAGCTTACAAAATCACAGCTGTTACTTTTTCAAACAACTAAATGTTGATTTCATTTTAAATGTCATTTCAAAAGAATTAATGATTTCCTCAAAGCACTACAATTTATACAGCATGGAATACTATGCAGCCATAAAAAAGGATGTGTTCATGTCCTTTGCAGGGACATGGATGAAGCTGGAAACCCTCATTCTCAGCAAACTAACACAGGAACAGAAAACCAAACACTACATGTTCTCACGCATAAGTGGGAGTTGAACAATAACACATGGACACAGCGAGGGGAACATAACACAATGGGGCCTGTCGGCAGTGGGTGGGGTCGGGGGAGGGTTGGGAGGCTATGGGAGGGATAGCATTAGAAGAAATACCTAATGTAGATGACGAGTTGATGGGTGCAGCAAACCACCATGGCACATGTATACCTAAATAACAAACCTGCACATTCTGCACATGTATCCCAGAACTAAAAGTATAATTTAAAAAAAAAGAAAATATACTTTAATGATATTCAAGTCTACACAGGTCTTTTTCCAACTATGGTACAAAACAAAAATCCTATAATGAACATGTTAAGTATAAACTGTTGCCTTTCAAAGTTCCATCATTATCCTATTCCACAAAAGCATTAGCAACTATGAAAATAAGTGGGTGGGAATGTGTAATCCAAAAATATTTGGGCAAAGAAAAAGCCCACTATGACTAAAACAAAATGGCAAATGACTTCATCTTCTTTTGGAAAATGACCTCATTATGACAACTAGCGAACTAGCTTCCAAAGCCACTAACAGTAGCTTACAAAGTCACAGCTGTTACTTTTTCAAACAACTAAATGTTGATTTCATTTTAAATGTCATTGCAAAAGAATTAATGATTTCCTCAAAGCACTACAATTTATAAGCAAGAATTACACAGAGAAGAGTACAATAAGAAGTCTGTGACTTGTTCAATACAGATTATAGAAAATGACAGAACAATCATTTAAAAAACACTGGACTGTGAGCAACAAGCAGACATATTTAGGAGCACTGCAAATTATTCATGAATAAGACAATAAACACAAAAAGTGCTAATTGTGACCTTCAAGCAACACAAAAATCATTTAATTGATAGAGTAGATACAATGTAGAATTTTTTAAAACTAGCATATTTCAAAAAAAAGACATTTGGATAATATTTCTGAAAAAAGTTAAAATAATTCATGAAACCTAAAACTCCAGATCCCAAGTACAATGAAAAAACTGTCACCTAATTAAAATTTTTATTTAATTCTCGATTAAGATACTTATGTTTCTTAGTGTTAACTACAACTTTTATTATTTAAAAGTTTAAAAACAGCCTTCAAATATCTAAAATCTTTTGACCCAAAATGGGATTAATGAAACCAAATTATGACATCTGCAAAATAAAATACCATGTGACCAGTAAGCATTACACTGTAGAAAATATTTAGGGACAATGTAAAATGTACATATTTAATGAAAACAATGAGAGAAACCATTTAAGTAGAGGTTATGTGTATGTTTGTGTGCATGTATGATATGGTTTGGATATGTGTCCCCTACAAGACTCATGTTGATATGCTATCCCTAATGTTGGAGGTGGGGCCTGGCAGGAAATGTTTGGGTCATGGAGGCAGATCTCTCATGAGTGGCTTGGTGCTGTCCTCCTGAGAGTAAGTTCTGCCAAGATCTGATTTTTTAAAAATGTGTAGCACCTCCCCCCTTTCTGAATTGCTCCTGCTCCTGCTATGTGAGATGCCAGCTCACCCTTTGCCTTCCACCACGACTGTAAACTTTCTGAGGCATCATAAGAAGTCAAGCAGATGCTGCCACCACACTTCCTGTGCAGCCTGCAGAACCATAAGCCAATTAAACCTCTTTTCTTCATAAATTACCGAGTTCACATATTTCATTATAGTGATATAAAAATGGCCTAATACAATGTATTTATACAAAGACATCTATAAAAGCTATCATATTGATAGAGCTGTTATATCCGGTCCAGAAATCTCTCCAGACTCACATCCAATAGCCTAGTTGATATTTCAACTTGGTTATCTAACAGATACCTCAAATTTAACATAACCAAAACTTAATTTCTAATATACCTGCTCTACTTGCACTCCATGATAGCTGATGACCATTCCTATCTATTTAGTTGACAAGAACAACAACTTTTGAGTCATTTTAACTCCAGCTTTATTTTCAATCCCCACATCCAATCTCTTAGCAAATTATCTTGACTCTTTTAAATATATCGAGAATCTAATCATGTCTCACCATCTCTTCTACTGCAAAAATATGTATGTCTAACACGGGAAGCCAAATTTTTCCACAATCAAAAACAGGTTCCAAGAACTAAATGAGGGTACACCAAGAATGTGAGCACAAACTTTTAGGTATAGGCCAGGTGTCGTGGCTCACACCTGTAATCCCATCATTTTGGAAGGCTGAGGTGGGTGTATCACTTGAGGTTAGGATTTTGAGACCAGCCTGGCCAACATGGTGAAACCCTGTCTCTACTAAAAATACAAAAAAAAGTTAGCCAGGAAACATAGCACATGCCTGTAATCCCAGCTACTCGGGGGGCTGACACAGGAGAACTACTTGAATCCAGGAAGTGGAGGTTATGGTGAGCCAAGATCATGCCACTGCAAAATCTCAAAAATAAAACAAAACCAAAAAACAACAAAAAAAACCTCTTAGGTATAGATACAGAACCACATTTTCCAATCAGCTTATCATTAAAAAACAGAAAAAGAAAAAAAGGTTTATACTTTGATTATCATTTGTCTATCTTCTGTCTCTTTTCAATATATTCAGAACACGTGAGGATTATTATTAATTACTCCCCTTGTAACATGAACTGGTAATAAAAGGTCTATTGTGGATAAGAGGAAACCAACTACAGAACTCCTAGTGGCTTCACCTAGAGTGGTAACCATGGGATAAAATATATGGGCAAATTATTAAGAATAGTTTATGCCTTATCAACTTTATTTCTCCTATTTAAAAATATAACATGTTCTATAACAACAGAGTGGTTAAACATTCCTAAATATTTAAAACTTCCTAAAATGGTTGAGTAATTGCCATTAACATCTGTAATGTCCATAAAAAACATACAATTAAAAATAGCTAACAAAAATAAAGGGGGAAAACTGCACTTCGATGTAACCAGATGTAGATTATTTGTTTTTCAAAGTAATAGTAATTAACTGAGATAGCTCATTTCAAATTAAGCAACTTATAAAAGACTGTTTTAGTTTTTAATATCTTTAAAAATTTATGAGGGGTGGAGACAAGATGGCCGAATAGGAACAGCTCCAGTCTACAGCTCCCAGCATGAGCAATGCAGAAGACGGGTGATTTCTGCATTTCCAACTGAGGTACCGGTTCATCTCACTGTGGACTGTCAGACAGTGGGGACAGGACAGTGGGTGCAGCGCACCAAGCATAAATCGAAGTAGGGCAAGGCATCGCATCACCCGCGAAGCGCAAGGGGTCAGGGAATTCCATTTCCTAGTCAAAGAAAGGGGTGACAGACAGCACCTGGAAAATCGGGTCATTCCCACCCTAATACTGCGCTTTTCCAATGGTCTTAGCAAATGGCACACCAGGAGATTATATCCCGTGCCTGGCTCAGAGGGTCCTGTGCCCACAAAGCCTCGCTCATTGCTAGCACAGCAGTCTGAGATCAAACTGCAAGGTGGCAGCGAGGTTGGGGGAGGGGCGCCCACCATTGCCGACGCTTGAGTAGCTAAACAAAGCAGCCGGGAAGCTCAAACTGGATGGAGCCCAGCACAGCTCAAGGAGGCCTGCCTGCCTCTGTAGACTCCACCTCTGGGGGCAGGGCATAGCCAAACAATAGGCAGCAGAAACCTCTGCACACTTAAATGTCCCTGTCTGACAGCTTTGAAGAGAGTGGTTCTCCCAGCACCCAGCTGGAGATCTGAGAACAGACAGACTGCCTCCTCAAGTGGGTCCCTGATACCCGAATAGCCTAACTGGGAGGCACCCCCCAGTAGGGGCAGACTGACACCTCACATGGCCGGGTACCCCTCTGAGACAAAACTTCCAGAGGAACGATCAGGCAACAACATTTGCTGCTCACCAATATCTGCTGTTCTGCAGCATCCACTGCTGATACCCAGGCAAACAGGGTCTAGAGTGGACATCCAGCAAACTCCAACAGACCTGCAGCTGAGGGTCCTGACTGTTAGAAGGAAAACTAACAAACAGAAAGGACATCCACAACAAAAGCCCATCTGTACGTCACTATCATCAAAGACCAAAGGTAGATAAAACCACAAAAATGGGGAAAAAACAGAGCAGAAAAACTGGAAATTCTAAAAATCAGAGCACCTCTCCTCCTCTAAAGGAACGCAGCTCCTCACCAGCAACAGAGCAAAGCTGGATGGAGAATGACTTTGACAAGTTGAGAGAAGAAGGTTTCAGACAATCAAACTAATCCGAGCTAAAGGAGGTTCGAACGCTTCGCAAAGAAGTTAAAAACCTTGAAAAAAAAATTAGACGAATGGCTAACTAGAATAACCAATGCAGAGAAGTCCTTAAAGGACCTGATGGAGCTGAAAACCATGGCACGAGAACTACGTGACAAATGCACAAGCTTCAGTAGCCGATTCGATCAACTGGAAGAAAGGGTATCAGTGATGGAAGATCAAATGAATGAAATGAAGTGAGAAGAGAAGTTTCGAAAAAAAGAATAAAAAGAAACAAACAAAGCCTCCAAGAAATATGGGACTATGTGAAAAGACCAAATCTACATCTGATTGGTGTACCTGAAAGTGACGGGCAGAATGGAACCAAGTTGGAAAACACTCTGCAGGATATTATCCAGAAGAACTTCCCCAATCTAGCAAGGCAGGCCAACATGCAAAGTCAGGAAATACAGAGAACGCCACAAAGATACTCCTCGAGAAGAGCAACTCCAAGACACATAATTGTCAGATTCACCAAAGTTGAAATAAAGGAAATAATGTTAAGGGCAGCCAGAGAGAAAGGTCAAGTTACCCACTAACGGAAGCCCATCAGACTAACGGCTGATCTCTCAGCAGAAACTCTACAAGCCAGAAGAGAGTGGGGGCCAACATTCAACATTCTTAAGGAAAAGAATTTTTAACCCAGAATTTCATATCCAGCCAAACTAAGCTTCATAAGTGAAGGAGAAATAAAATACTTTACAGGCAAGCAAATGCTGAGAGATTTTGTCACCACCAGGCCTGCCCTAAAAGAGCTCCTGAAGGAAGCACTAAACATGGAAAGGAACAACCAGTACCAGCCACTGCAAAAACATGCCAAATTGTAAAGACCATCGAGGCTAGGAAAAAACTGCATCAACTAACGAGCAAAATAACCAGCTAACATCATAATGACAGGATCAAATTCACACATAACAATATTAACCTTAAATGTAAATGGGCTAAAGGCTCCAATTAAAAGACACACACTGCCAAACTGGATAAAAAGTCAAGACCCATCAGTGTGCTGTATTCAGGAAACCCACCTCACGTGCAGAGACATACATAGGATCAAAATAAAGGGATGGAGGAAGATCTACCAAGCAAATGGAAAACAAAAAAAGGCAGGGGTTGCAATCCTAGTATCTGATAAAACAGACTTTAAACCAACAAAGGTCAAAAGAGACAAAGAAGGCCATTACATAATGGTAAAGGGATCAATTCAACAAGAAGAGCTAACTATCCTAAATACATATGCACCCAATACAGGAGCACCCAGATTCATAAAGCAAGTCCTCAGAGACCTACAAAGAGACTTAGACTCCCACACGATAATAATGGGAGACTTTAACACCCCACTGTCAACACTAGACAGACCAACGAGACAGAAAGTTAACAAGGATACCCAGGAATTGAACTCAGCTTTTCACCAAACAGACATAATAGACATCTACAGAACTCTCCACCCCAAATCAACAGAATATACATTCTTTTCAGCACCACACCACACCTATCCCAAAACTGACCACATAGTTGGAAGTAAAGTACTCCTCAGCAAATGTAAAAGAACAGAAATTATAACAAACTGTCTCTCAGACCACAGTGAAATCAAACTAGAACTCAGGATTAAGAAACTCACTCAGAACTGCTCAATTACATGTAAACGGAACAACCTGCTCCTGAATGACTACTGGGTACATAATGAAATATGAAATGAAAACAGAAATAAAGATGTTCTTTGAAACCAACGAGAACAAAGACACAATGTACCAGAATCTCTGGGACACATTCAAAGCAGTGTGTAGAGGGAAATTTAGAGCACTACATGCCCACAAGAGAAAGCAGGAAAGATCTAAAATTGACACCCTAACATCATAATTAAAACAACTGGAGAAGCAAGAGCAAACACATTCAAAAGCTAGCAGAAGGCAAGAAATAACTAAGATCAGAGCAGAACTGAAGGAAATAGAAACACAAAAAACCCTTCAGAAAATCAGTGAATCCAGGAGCTGGTTTTTTTTGAAAACATCAACAAAATTGACAGACCGCTACCAAGACTAATAAAGAAGAAGTGAGAGGAATCAAATACATGCAATAAAAAATGATAAAGGGGATATCACCACTGATCCCACAGAAATACAAACTATCATCAGAGAATACTATAAACACCTCTACGCAAATAAACTAGAAAATCTAGAAGAAATGGATAAATTCCTTAACACATACACCCTCCCAAGACTAAACGAGGAAGAAGTTGAATCTCTGAATAGACCAATAACAGGCTCTGAAATAGAGGCAATAATTAATAGCTTACCAACCAAAAAAAGTCCAGTACCAGAGGGATTCACAGCCAAATTCTACCAGAGTTACAAGGAAGAGCTGGTACCATTCCTTCTGAAACTATTCCAATCAACAGAAAAAGAGGGAATCCTCCCTAACTCATTTTATGAGGCCAGCATCATCCTGATACCAAAGACTAGCAGAGACACAACAAAAAAAGAGAAGTTTAGACCAATATCTCTGATGAACATCGATACAAAAATACAACAAAATACTGGCAAACCGAATTCAGCAGTGCATCAAAAAGCTTATCCACCATGATCAAGTGGGCTTCATCCCTGGGATGGAAGGCTGGTTCAACATACACAAATCAATAAATGTAATCCAGCATATAAACAGAACCAAAGACAAAAACCACACGATTATCTCAATAGATGCAGAAAAGGCCTCTGAGAAAATTCAACAGCCCTTCATGCTAAAAACTCTCAATAAATTAGGTATTGATGGGACATATCTCAAAATAATAAGAGCTATCTATGACAAACCCACAGCCAATATCATACTGAATGGGCAAAAACTGGAAGCATTCCCTTTGAAAACTGGCACAAGACAGGGATGCCCTCTCTCACCACTCCTATTCAACATAGTGTTGGAAGTTCTGGCCAGGGCAATCAGGCAGGAGAAGGAAATAAAGGGTATTCAATTAGGAAAAGAGGAAGTCAAATTGTCCCTGTCTGCAGATGACATGATTGTATATCTAGAAAACCCCACCGTCTCAGCCCAAAATCTCCTTAAGCTGATTGTCAACTGCAGCAAAGTCTCAGGATACAAAATCAATGTGCAAAAATCACAAGCATTCTTATACACCAATAACAGACAAACAGAGAGCCAAATCGTGAGTGAACTCCCATTCACAATTGCTTCAAAGAGAATAAAATACCTAGGAATCCAACTTACAAGGGACGTGAAGGACCTCTTCAAGGAGAACTACAAACCACTGCTCAATGAAATAAAAGAGGATACAAACAAATGGAAGAACATTCCATGCTCATGGGTAGGAAGAATTAATATCGTGAAAATGGCCATACTGCCCAAGATAATTTATAGATTCAATGCCATCCCCATCAAGCTACCAATGACTTTCTTCACAGAATTGGAAAAAACTACTTTAAAGTTCATATGGAACCAAAAAAGAGCCTGCATTGCCAAGTCAATCCTAAGCCCAAAAGAACAAAGCTGAAGGCATCACACTACCTGACTTCAAACTATACTACAAGGTGACAGTAACCAAAACAGAATGGTACTGGTACCAAAACAGAGGATATAGACCAATGGAAAAGAACAGAGCCCTCAGAAATAATGCCACGTATCTACAACTATCTGATCTTTGACAAACGTGACAAAAACAAGAAATGGGGAAAGGATTCCCTATTTAATAAATGGTGCTGGGAAAACTGGCTAGCCATATGTAGAAAGCTGAAACTGGATCCCTTCCTTACACCTTATACAAAAATTAATTCAAGATGGATTAAAGACTTAAATGTTAGCCCTAAAACCATAAAAACCCTAGAAGAAAACCTAGGCAATACCATTCAGGACATAGGCATGGGCCAGGACTTCATGTCTAAAACACCAAAAGCAATGGCAACAGAAGCCAAAATTGAGAAATGGGATCTAATTAAACTAAAGAGCTTCTGCACAACAAAAGAATCTACCATCAGAGTGAACAGGCAACCTACAGAATGGGAAAAAATTTTTGCAATCTACTCATCTGACAAAGGGCGAATATCTAGAATCTACAATGAACTCAAACAAATTTACAAGAAAAAACAACCCCATCAAAAAGTGGGCAAAGGATATGAACAGACACTTCTCAAAAGAAGACATTTATGCAACCAAAAGACACGTGAAAAAATGCTCATCATCACTGGCCAGCAGAGAAATGCAAATCAAAACGACAATGAGATACCAACTCACACCAGTTAGAATGGCGATCATTAAAAACTGAGGAAACAACAGGTGCTGGAGAGGATGTGGAGAAATAGGAACACTTTTACACTGTTGGTGGGACTGTAAACTAGTTCAACCATTGTGGAAGTCAGTGTGGCGATTCCTCAGGGATCTTGAACTGGAAATACCATTTGACCCAGCCATCCCATTACTGGGTATATACCCAAAGGATTATAAAACATGCTGCTATAAAGACACATGCACACGTATGTTTATTGCAGCACTATTCACAATAGCAAAGACTAGGAACCAAGCCAAATGTCCATCAATGATAGACTGGATTAAGAAAATGTGGCACATACACACCATGGAATACTATGCAGCCCTAAAAAATGATGAGTTCATGTCCTTTGTAGGGGCATGGATGAAGCTGGAAACCATCATTCTCAGCAAACTATCACAAGGAGAAAAAACCAAACACCACATGTTCTCACTCATAGGTGGGAACTGAACAATGAGAACACATGGACACAGGAAGGGGAACATCACACACCGGAGCCTGTTGTGGGGTCGGAGGAGAGGGGAGGGATAGCATTAGGAGATATACCTAATGTTAAATGACGAGTTAATGGTGCAGCACACCAACATGGCACATGTATACATATGTAACAAACCTGCACATTGTGCACATGTACCCTAAAACTTAAAGTATAATAAAAATAAAAAATAAAAAATAAAAAATATAAAAAATTATAACATGAGTGAATGGCTGATATCGGTACTCTGATGTTCATAACACCATTATTCACAATAGCCAAAAGGTCAACAAATCCAACTGTCCCTCAGCAGATAAACTGATAAACAAAATGCTGTATATCCATATAAGGCATTTAGCCTTAAAAAGAAAGGAAATTCTGTAACACACTACAATACGGATGAACCATGAAGGTTGTTTAGTGAAATAAACCAGTCACCAAAGGATGAATATTGCATGATTCTACTTATAGGAGTGACCTCATATAATTTGTATGGTCCAATTCAAAGAAAGAAACAGTAGAATGCTGTTTGCCAGGGACTGGGAGGATGGGGGAAGGAGCAGTTATTGTTTAATGGTTGCCAAATTTCAGTTTAGGAAGATGAAAAAGTTCTGGAGATGAATAGGTGTAATGATTATGCAATGTCAAGGTACTTAATGCCAATGAACTCTACACTTAAAAATAGTGCAAATGGTAAATTTAATGTATCACTACAATTTTGAAAAGCACAAGACCATTAATCAATTTCAATAGTTTCCAAAAATAACTGCAACTTCCGAACTGTAACAGACTTATCCTAAAAATTACTTAAAGCAACTTACCACACTTAGTTCTTCGTGTTATTTTGTAACTTTTTGAAAATGAGATCTGCTGCACATTCCTTTCCTAAAATTTTACTTCTGTAGCTGAGAACAGCTAATTGTTATATTTGCCTTTAAAGTTTCCAGGTTAACGTGACAGCCATTCATGTATTTTATGAAATTATAAGGCTTGATGCACCTATTTCTTACTAGAACTTACCTAATACTATTTTCTAAAGAGAATCCTAGAGCAGCCATCAGGTAGTTTCTGAGTTGACATCTTTTATGTGCCAAAGCCACCTTCTGCTACTCACCTTTCACAATATGATATCAAATCCATTCCACCTCAACCTCAAACATAACTCAATACTTAACTGACAACTAAAAAGGGCTGAAACTAATGTATCTTTTAGGGATTATAACTGAGAAGCATAAATAACGGTATTTATTAAGAGACTTAAGGATAGTTTTTGAATCAGTAACAGTGGTTTCCTGCCATTTTAAGTCAGAAGGTAATTTCTTTAACACAAAAAAATCACATATTCAAACATAATAACTATGCAATGCTGATTTAGAATATAGATGGCAAAATTATTATAAATTCAATAATGTTTTAAAATGTATTTGTACTTTATTAATCACAGTATTTACACACAATAAGAGATACAATGTGTGTGTGTGTGTGTATATATATATATATATGTATATATATATATATATGTATATATATATATGTGTATATATATATATGTATATATATATATATATATATAGCAAAGCATTTTTCAGTCTACATGCAATGTTCTGAGTACTGTTTATAAATTCATTAATTCCTTGCAATAATCACACTGTGGGATACTTTAATATATTCTAAATATTCACCGTTTGATAAAGACAAACCATTACCATTATAAAGAACACAACTTTTTCTGACAGTTTTCACAAAAGACATTTAAAAGAAAGAAAAAGAGAGAACTTTTTGCCCATCCTCTGTCCATTGATCCATCTTTCCACTTATCTTCTCTCCCTTCCACTGACTCAGTTTTAAAGAATTACATGAGACGAGGTCCTATATACACATTCTACATTTGATACAGGTGACAAACATTATACAGTGTCCTCTAATATAGGATCCATAGGAGCTATTTCTCTCTACTCTCAGCATCGGGCCAGGATTAGTAACACATTTCTTTTAATAAGAAACTGTATCTTAAAACATGGTTCTTTCTAATGTGTTTTTCATATTCCATGTTTAACCATCTTGCATATCAGCATACTATTGCACTCTTATTTGCTTAATATTTTCTTCAAGTATTTTTTCAAATTATCAACCCTTTATGTTGTTAAATTGTTACTAAAATTAATTTTAAAGGGAATTTTTATATCCCTACCATAAAAAAATCCAGAATCATGTATTATAAATAAAAAAGAACCGTAAGAAGAGCCAAAATAAGATATTAATAAATTCTAATGACAAACTGCTTCTCACTCATTTTTGAAATTATAAAGTACTATAAAGATACAGAGTATTACTGAGGAAATAGAAAGCCACCATCCACCTTTCTTTTATCAAATAAAATATTGAGGAAGTGGAAATCTGAGGATTTCTCAGTAATTCACTGTATCTTTAAAGTAATTCATAATTTAAAAAATAATAACATGAAAAGTTTTTGTCTTATCTTCCCTGAGCCACTCTCCTTCCATTCTTAGTGGCATATTAAAGAGATATCATCTGAATAACTTGAGAGGTCAGATAATATATTAACACATAGGCTTTTTAGAAAATACTTATGCATAAACCATTATTGCTCTTCAGTTCCTCAAAAAGGAATAAGTAAACACGAGAAAACATCCATCAGTCATACCTCTGTTACGTCATATGCTATAAGTTTCACAGGTAAGGATGAGATATTTACTAAATATGCTTGCTGTTTAGATTTTAAACAAAAAATGGTACGTCAGCTGGTAACACTAGTACAGAGGAGACTGAATTATGATTGTTTTTAACAGCAACAATTTCTTAACAAAAATATTAAAGTCCTGGTGCAATGGTTCACACCTATAGTCACCTAGCATGTTGGAGGCTGACGCAGGAGGACTGCTTGAGCCCAGGAGTTCAGGACCAGCATGGGCAACAGAGATGCCATCTTTACAAAAATTTTAAAAAGTTAGTCAGGCGTGGTGACACACACCTGTAGTCCCAGCTACTGACAAGCCTGAGGTGGGGCAATCGCTTAAGTCCAGGAGTTCAAGACTGCAGTAAGCCATGATCATGCCACTGCACTCCAACCTGGGCAACAGAGTGAGACCCCGTCTCAAAAAAAGAAAAAAAAATTAAATATATTTTTCTTCCTTTGGACAAATTCAATCTAAATTTTAAAATCATTTGGAAAGTAAAAAGGCTCTTGCTTTTATTTGTGAACAAAAAGGAAGACAAATGCTGACTTAACATATAACTACCTTGGAGTTGGTCAATTTAAATTATCTACCAGGCACAGATCAAACTACATTTGTAGTACTCCAGTCAGGTCTGAACTGCACTGTCATAGGATTAAGTGAATCTCTTCTGGAAAAAGATCAGGGCATGGATGATCAAAAAAAAAAAAAAAAAGCAGAGGGTAGGGAGTGGAATGGAAGAGAAATCTAGCATTTATTTTGTATTTACTCTTCTGGGCACTGTTTTAACTATATACTCCTTTAAACATCAACAAAAATCCCGTAAGTTGGGCCTTATGATCTCTCTTTTAAAAATATTTTTAAAAAACTAAAAACTAAGTCCAAAGAAGTGGCTGAAACTCTCATTCAAAGCTAAAAGCAGAGTTAGACCAGGTATCAGGTCTATCCAATTCCGAATTATTTCTAAACTATTGTTTGTAGTGTCACATGATAACAGTAGCTAACACTGAGGACTTACTCTATGTACTAAGTATCCCACAGTATTGTATCACATAAGCCTATGGAGCCAGAGGCTTTTCTAGTCTCATTTCACAAATGAGGAATCTGAGGCCCAAGAAAATGGATGGATCATGGCAGACAGGAGGCAGGACTAGACTGCAGCTCTAACTCGGATGGACAGAGCAGCATGTGGAGGCTCGCATCATGAATTTTTGCTCCAGAACGACTGCAGGAATAAATCAGGAAACCTGAAAGGACCCACAGACCCCCTGAAGGAAGCAGATTCCTCCTGCAAGACCCTGGAGACACCCCAAATACTGTGCTGGTATACACAGCTGAGAGACTCACAGATGGTTCACATCACAGGACTCTGCAGACAACCTGCAATACCAGCCCAGAGCCTGGTAGACTTGCTGGGTGGCTAGATCCAGAAGAGAGATAATCACTACAACTCGGCTCCCAGGAAGCCACATCCATGGGAAAAGGGGGAGAGTACTACATCAAGGGAACACCTCATGGGACAAAAGAATCTGAACAACAGCCTTTAGCGCTAGACCTTTCCTCTGACAGAGAGAAGGAACCAAATGAGAAGGAACCAGAAAACCAACTCTGGTAATATGACAAAACAAGGTTCTTTAACACCCCCCAAAATCACACACTGGCTCACCAGCAATGGAACCAAACCAAGAAGAAATCCCTGATGTACCTGAAAAACAATTCAGGAGGATAGTTATTAAGCTAATAGGGGAGACACCAGAGAAAGGTGGCCACAATGTAAGGAAATCCAAAAAATATTACACGAAGTGAAGGAAGAAATATTCAGGGAAACAGTATAAATAAAAAACAATCAAAACTTCAGAAAACAATGGACACTCATAGAAACGCAAAATGCTCTGGAAAGTCTCAGCAATAAAACTGAAAAAGTAGAAGAAAAATTCAGAGCTTGAAGACAAGGTCTTCTAATTCACAAACTCCAACAAAGACCAAAAAAATCAGAAAATACGAACAAAGGCTCCAAACAGTCTGGGCTTATGTTAAACAACCAAATCTAAGAATAATCGGTGTCCCCAAGGAAGAAGAGAAATTGAAAAGTTTGGAAAACATACTTGGGGGAATAATCGAGGAAAACTTCCCTGACCTTGCTAGAGACCTAGACATCCAAATAGAAGAAGCAAAAGGAACACCTGCAAAATTCATCACAAAAAGATTACTGCCTAGGCACACTGACATCAGGTTATCTAAAGTTAAGATGAAGGAAAGAATTTTAAGACCTGTGAGAAAAAAGCACCAGGTAACCTACAAAGGAACACCTATCAGATTAACAGCAGATACCTAAGCAGAAACCCTACAAGCTAGGAGGGATTGGGGCCCTATCTTCAGTCTCCTCAAACAAAATGATTTTTGTCAAGCATTTTGTATCCAGTGAAACTAAGCTTCATATATGAAAGAAAGATACAGTCTTTTTCAGACAAACAAATGCCGAGAGAATTCGCCACTACCAAGCCACCACTACACGAGCTGCTAAAAGGAGCTCTAAATCTTGAAATAAATCCTGGAAGCACATCAAAATAGAACCACTTTAAAGCATAAATCTCACAGGACCTATAAAACAAAAATACAATTTTAAAAAACAAAAACAAAAATACAATTTAAAAAACAAAAACAAAATCTAATGTATACAGGCAACGAATACCATGGTGAATAAAATGGTACCTCACATCTCAATACTAATATTGAATGTAAATGGCCTAAATGTTCCACTTAGAAGATACAGAAATGCAGAATGGATACGTATCCACCAACCAATTATCTGCTGCCTTCAGGAGACTCACCTAGCTAACATATAAAGACTCACACAAACTTAAGGCAGAGGGGTGGAAAAAGACATTTTATGCAAAAGGACACCAAAAGCAAGCAGGAGTAGCTATTCTTATACCAGACAAAAGAAACTTTAAAGCAACAGCAGTTAAAAAAGACAAGGAGGGACATTATATAATGATAAAAGGCCTTGTCCAACAGGAAAATATCACAATCCTAAAAATACATGCACCTGACACTGGAGTTCCCAAATTTATAAAACAATTACTAACAGACCTAAGAAATGAGATAGACAGCAACACAATAATAGTGGGGGACTTCAATACTCCACTGACAGCAGTAGATAGGTCATTAAGACAGAAAGTCAACAAAGAAACAATGGATTTAAACTATACCTTGGAACAAATGAACTTAGCAGATATATACAGAACATTCCATCCAACAACCACAGAATATACATTCTATTCAACAAGGTGTGGAACTTTCTCCAAGACAGACCACACAATGGGGCACAAAATGAGCCTCAATAAATTTAAGAAAACTGAAATTATATCAAGCACTCTTTCAAACCACAGTGGGATAAAACTGGAAATCAACCCCAAAAGGAACCTCCAAAGCCACGCAAATACATGGAAATTAAACAACCTGCTCCTGAATAATCAGTGGGTCAAAAATGAAATCAAAATGGAATTTAAAAAATTCTTTGAACTGAATGACAATAGTGACACAACCTATCAAAACCTCTGGGACACAGCAAAGGCAGTGCTTAGAGGAAAGCTCATAGCCCTAAACACCAACATCAAAAAGTCTGAAAGAGCACAGACAGACAATCTAAGGTCACACCTCAAGGAACCAGAGAAACAAGAACAAACCAAACCCAAGCCTTGCAGAAGAAAGTAAATAACCAAGATCAGAGCAGAACTAAACGAAACTGAAACAATCAAAAAAAAAATACAAAAGATAAATGAAACAAAAAGCTGGTTCTTTCAAATGATAAACCTGAGAGACCATTAACAAGATTAACTAAGAAAAGAAGAGAGAAAATCGATATAAGCTCAGTGAGAAACAATACATGTGAAATTACAACTGACGCCAAAGAAATACAAAAGACCCTTCAAGGCTACTATGAAGACCTTTACATCCACAGACTAGAAAACCTAGAAGAAATGGATAAATTCTTGAAAAGATACAACCTTCCTAGCTTAAATCAGGATAAATTAGATACCCTGAACTGACCAATAACAAGTAGTGAGACTGAAATGGTAATTTAAAAATTACTATCAAAAAAAAAGTCCAGGACCAGATGGATTCACAGCAGAATTCTACCAGACACTGAAAGAATTGGTACCAATCTTATTGACACTATTCTACAAGATAGAGAAAGAGGGAACCCTCCCTAAATCATTCTATGAAGCCATTATCACGCTAATACTAAAACCAGGAAAGGACATAACCAAAAAAAGAAAACTACAGACCAATAACCCTGATGAACACAGATACTAAAATCCTTAACAAAATACTTGCTAACCAAATCCACAATATATCAAAAAGACAATTCACTATGTTCAAGTGGGTTTCATACCAGGGATACAGGGATGGTTTAACATACACAAGTTAATAAATGTGATACACCACATAAACAGAATTAAAAATCACATGATCATCTCAATAGAAGCAGAAAAAGCATTCAACAAAATCCAGCATCACTTTATGATTAAAACTCTTGGCAAAATCAGCATACAAGGGATATACCTCAATATAATAAAAGCCATCTATGACAAACCCACAGCCAACATAATACTGAATGGGGAAAAGTTGAAAGCATTCCCTCTGAGAACAGGAACAATACAAGGCTGCTAGCTTTCACTACTCCCCTTCAGCACAGTACTGAAAGTCCTAGCCAGAGCTATCTGACAAGAGAAAGAGATAAAGGGCATCCACATCAGTAAAGAGGAAGTCAAACTGTTGCTGTTTGCTGATATGATTGTTTACCTAGAAAACCCTAAAGCCTCCTCCAGAAAGCTCCTGGAACTGATAAAAGAATTCAGCAAAGTTCCCGGACACAAAATTATTGTACACTAATCAGCACCTCTTCTGTACACCAACAGTGACCAGGTTGAGAATCAAATCAAGAATCAACCCCTTTTACAATAGCTGCAAAAAAAAAAAAAAAAAAAAAAAAAAAAAACAACTTAGGAATATACCTAACCAAGGAGGTGAAAGACCTCTACAAGGGAAACTACAAAACACTGCTGAAAGAAATCCCAGACAACACAAACAAATGGAAACACATCCCATCCTAATGGATGGGTAGAATCAATATGGTGAAAATGACCATACTGCCAAAAGCAATCTACAAATTCACCAATGCAATTCCCATGAAAATACCACCATCATTCGTCACTGAATTAGAGAAAAACAATTCTAAAATTCATATGGAAGCAAAAAAGAGCCCACATAGACAAAGCAAGACTAAGCAAAAAGAATAAACCTGGAGGCATCACATTACCTGATTTCAAACTATACTATTAGGCTATAGTCACCAAAACAGCGTGGTACTGGTAGAAAAACAGGCACATAGACCAATGGAATAGAGAACCCAGAAATAAACCTAAACACTTACAGCCAACTGATCTTTGAAAAAAACAAACAAACAAAACATAAATTGGGAACACTTTTCAACAAATGGTGCTGGGATACTAGGCTAGCCACATGTAGGAGAATGAAACTCAATCTTCATCTCTCTCTGTATACAAAAATCAACTCAAGATGGATTAAGGACTTAAATTTAAGACCTGAAACTATAAAAGTTCCAGAAGGTAACATTGGAAAAACCTTTCTAGACATTGGCTTAGGCAAGGATTTCATGACCAATAACCTAAAAACAAATGCAATAAGAACAAAGATAAATTTCTGGGACTTAATTAAACGAAAGAGCTTTTGCACAGCAAAAAAAAAAAAAAAAAAAAAAAAAAAAAACAGCAGAGTCAACAGACAACCTACAAAGTGAGAGAAAATCTTCACAATCTATACATCTGACAAAGGTCTAATACCCAAAATCTACAATGAACTCACAGAAATCAACAAGAAAAAAACAATCCCATCAAAAAGTGGGCTAAGGACAGGAACAGACAATTCTCAAAAGAAGATATGCAAATGGCCAACAAACATATGAAAAAATGCTCAACATCACTAATGATCAATACCACCAAATCCTGCAAGAATGGCCATAATCAAAAAACAAAAACTGGGTAAATGTTGGCATGGATGCACTAAACAGGCAACACTTCTACACTGCTGGTGGGAGTACAAACTAGTAAAACCACTATGGAAAATGGTACGGAGATTCTTTAAAGAACTAAAAGTAGAACTACCATTTGATCCAGCAATCCCAATCCTGGGTATCTACCCAGAGGAAAAAAAAGTCATAGGAAAAGATACTTGCACACACGTTTATAGCAGCACAATTCGCAACTGCAAAAACATGGAATCAACCCAGATGCCCATCAATCAACGAATGGATAAGGAAATTGTGATATATATATAAGTATATATACACACATATACATATACATACACACATATACATACATATATACATACACATACTACACACACACACACACACACACACACACAATGCAACACTACTCAACCATAAAAACGAATGAACTAATGGCATTCACAGCTACCTGAATGAGACTAGAGACTATTACTCTAAGTGAAGTAATGCAGGAATAGAAAACCAAACATCGTTATTTTCTCACTAATAAGTGGGAGCTAAGCTATGAGAATGCAAAGGCATAAGAATGACACAATGGACTTTGGGGACTCAGGGGGAAAGGGTGGGAAGGGGGTTAGGGATAAAAGACTACGAACAGTGCCAGGTGTGATGACTCATGCCTGTAATCCCAGCACTTTGGGAGGGCAAGGTGGGCAGATTACCTGAGGCCAGGAGTTTGAGACTAGCCTGGCCAACACGGTGAAACCCCGTCTCTACTAAAAATATAAAAATTAGCGAGGCGTGGTGGCACATGCCTGTAATCCCAGCTACTCGGGAGGCTGAGGCAGGAGAAGCACTTGAACCCGGGACACGGAGGTTGCAGTGAGCTGAGATCGTGCCACTGCACTCCAGCCTGGCCAACAGAGTAAGACTCTGTCTCAAAAAAAAAAAAAAAAAAAAAAAAAATTACAAATAGGGTGCAGCGTATTCTGCTCAGGTGATGGGTGCACCAAAATCTCACAAATCACCACTAAAGAACTTATTCATGTAACCAAACACCACCTGTGCCCCGTGGAGATCATGCCACTGCACTCTGCATTCCAGCCTGGCTGACAGAGTGAGATTCTGTCTCAAGAAAAAAAAAAAAAGGAAGGACTACAAATGTATAGCGTAATCTGCTCAGGTGATGAGTACACCAAAATCTCACAAATCACCACTAAAGAACTTATTCATGTAACCAAACACCACCTGTACCCCAATAACCTACGGAAATAAATTTAAAAAAAAAAAAAAGGAAAAAAAAATGATGTGCTTCATCCCCCATTACAGAGCAAATAGTAAAGCCAGGTTTCAGACATCATGAAGTTTAACTCAACCATTATACAAGAAAAATTTTAGAGGAAGGGATATCTATCTACCTGTCATTGTTAACTAAAATTCTCTATAGTAGACTTTTGTCTTAGGTGCAGATTTATAAGGAAAAGAGGAAATCAACTGTATTCAGAGTTATCCTATACAAAGTCCCTTAAGTTTTTAATAAAGTGCAGAATAGTACTGTCTCATAGGCATAACAAAGCTAGATTTTCCTTCACCAGTGTGTCAGATCACTGTCTTTTTTGTACTTCTAGATAAAATAGTTGGTTTGTGTTTAAAGGTTTGTGTTATACAAAAATTACATAAAATATTTTAAACACTAGGAGTCCCTCTGTCACTGAAGTTCCAAGACAGGTTGGCAGAAATGCAAGTTTAGAAGGATTACTATAAATATGCTAACACATTTATTTTAAATCTGAGCTCATTTTATTGTCTTCTGGGAACCAATAAATTGTTGGAGGCTTTTTAAAACTTAACATATTAACAAACTACACACACACAATGTTACACACATGTTCATAATGAACTTGAAGTTCAGTAAGATACTTCCCTTCTCCCCATTACTAATGGTATATAAAATTTTAATACTTTAGGCTCCCTATGCAGCCTATCACCCAGAGAAAACTTAGCACAGAGTAGACATCCAGTATGTATTTACTGAATGAACGATTCAACATGAATTGCTTATCAGCTCCTTGTATTAGGTACTTTACACATATTATTTCATTTAATGCTCACAATATCCATAAAAAGATTATTATGCCTACTTTAGAGATAAAAAAGCATAAAAACACAGAAGTTTAATAACAAGCTTCAGGCCACCAAGCTGATAATTTGTAGAGCCAGGAGTGGAATGCAATTTGACAAAATCCAAAGCTGGTAACTTTTTACAGCTTCATGCAGTTCTCACAATGAAGTTCATCTCTTTTCCACAAGGCTACACTGAGAAGTTTTATGAAGAGTTAGGACTTTCGATAATTTAATGAATGATCATGACTTCAGAAAGTAGAGACAGGAAGATTATTATAGACCAAAGAACGAATAGGAACACGAACACAGAAGACAGACTGGAAGGATGACAGTGCCATTAAGAAATTTTGTTTTCTACATTTTAGCAATGTGCATGAATAAGTTTTAGAATCAGGAAAAACTAAAATTATTTTTGTCACTTAAAAGAAAAAAAAAGTAGGTTATCAAGAGGAGAATGGGAGGTGTATCACAGTTAATTCCTAGATATCTGTTCTTTGATCCACCTGTAACATATCAAAAAAGTAATTTACAAAAATCAGAAAAGAGCCTTCCAAGATGGGCCTAACACATATGAAGAATATTCATTAAAATGTTATCTCTTTTTTTTTTTTTGAGATGGAGTCAGGACGGTCTCGATCTCCTGACCTCGTGATCCATCCGTCTTGGCCTCCCTAAAATGTTATCTCTTAATGACCAATAACTCAAACATCCAAACAACACTTTGTAAAACATACAAAGTTATCAGATCTGCTCAAATGAGACAGAAAAATGACTAAAATTGGCCAATGTAATTGTTACTTTTCTATTTACTGAATGGTAAAATCTGAAAATATCCCATATTGCAAACTAAACCTCTCCACTAAAGTAACTCTCTAGAATATAGGAAACCTTTCAAAGTATATAACCAAATTTATCTTTTAAGTTCCTGTCAACTTTACCTTGATCTCACAATGATCCCTGTGTCTTTTTATATTAAAAATTTTTAATTACTCATCAAAGAATAAAACTAATGCTTCTAAAACATGGACCATTTTAATCCTGTGGCAATAAATTATCCTTGACGAAAAACCATAAAACCACGTAAATGCAAAGTTTAAAAAACATCAAAATAAATTAAAATGTTTTGTAGAATTACATGAAGTGCCCAGGAGCAGTGGTCACACCTATAATCCTAACACTTTGGGAGGCCAAGGCAGGTGGATCATTTGAGGTCAGGAGTTCGAAACCAGTCTGGCCAACATGGTGACACCCCATCTCTACTGAAAGTACAAAAAAAAAAAATTAGCCGGATGTGATGGCAGGGGCCTGTTGTCCCAGCTACTTGGATCACTTGAACCCAGGAGGCAGAGGTTGCAGTAAGCTGAGATTGCGCCACTGCACTCCAGCTTGGGCAACACAGCAAGACTCTGCCTCAAAAAAAAAAAAAAGAATTGTATGAAGTAATGATCTTAAACTGATGACTATGTTAAAAACAAAAGCAGTAATATAAGATATGTGTCCCCTTTAACAAAAGAAATCTTAACTGAAGATTGAAGATTAGAGATTTTAATTCATATGCACACACAAAAATGTGTAATATAAGTAAAAGTTCAATTTTATTTATCTTTTTATGAAAATGCTGTAATATCCACAAGGAGGAATACTGTACACAGTCATTAAAAATCACACTACAGAGATTTTTTAGTCAATTCAGAAAACAAATTTTAATGGTAGCTAAAAAAATTAACAAGCCTATAATCCCAACACTTTGGGGAGGCTGAGGAAGGAAGATCACTTAAGCCAAGGAGTTTCAGACCAGCCTGGGCAACACAGTGAGACCCCGGCTCTGCCAAAAAAAAAAAAAAATTAATTAATTAACAGTATCATGTACATATATATACATCTCAAATACATACAAAAGTAGACTGATTTAAAATTTTTATCTATAGGAAAAATGTTTTTATGTTCTTTTTATTGTCCAACATTTTGTCATTTTTCTTAGTGGTAAGTATATAACATGACTTTTATATGCGTATTATATATGTGAATATATATATATATGTGTGCACACACACACACAACAAAACATATCAATGGGAAATTCTGGCATAAGTGGCCCTTTAATTAATAGCAGGCACTGAAAATGAAACTGAGCCCCAATTATCTTTTCTTACACTGAAACTATGTCAAGAATAACATCTCTCAAATGTAAAAAGGGACAACCAAAAGCTTAATACTGTATACTTCTATTAGACTGCCCAATAGTTAATCACAACTGAATTTTATTATTTTCTTTCTATGCAAGTCTTATAAAACCAAAGATAGAACAAATCTTTTAAATCCGATTTCAGTTTGAATCGTACATCACAAGTAAAGGCATCTATACAGTGCTTTGTAATACGCCAAAAGTTTTCTCTCACAAGTTGATTCTCACAATAATGTTAAGAGGAGAGTTAGTTCAATTTGAAAGAAGAGTATCCACAGCCACTAGAATGACCCTCAAAATAAAATTGGAAAATAACAAGCATTGGTGAGCATGTGGAGAATCAAAATACTAATACTTCAAAATTGCTGGTAGAAATATAAAACTACATGGCCCTTTTGGAAAACAGCTGGCAAGTACTTCAGTGAGTTAAATTACCATATGATGAGATAATTCTACTCCTTGGTGTTACCAGTGGCTGCTTAGGGGCTGGAAGATAGGAAGCGACGGCTTAATGGGTTTGGAGTTATCCTATGGGTTGATGAAAAAGTTCTGAAAAGAGATAGTGGTGACAGTTGCACAACATTGGGAATATACTTAATGCCACTGAATTGTATACTTTAAAATGGTGAAAACTGTACATTTTAAATTATGTATACCTGATCGCAGATTTTTTAAAGGGCTGGGGAAAGTGGGGGTGGGTGTTAGGTCAAGTCCCTGAGAGGCAAAACCTAAGAACTCTGTGCACATGATTGAGGAACTGCTCTTAGTAAAAAATTTAAAGAAGTGAATGAGGCAACAAAACTGTGGGTTCAGCTAAAGACTAGCCTCAACCTGATCTCAGAGTGAGCTCTGGAGTCTAACTGGCACCAGGGAGATGTCACATATTGAGACAAAGACAAGGCCTTATACCCTTATATCAACCAGTCATTGACTACAAGTCACCTACCTACCCCCTGGGAAAGTGGGAAGCTTAAGATCTCTGGGGTTTCTGGGCAGGCAGGTCCTGGCAATTCTGTGGCACTAGTGAGAACTGAGAGCTGTAAGTCACCAACACTATGGGTGAGGGATAGGTAAATAAACCATCCAGATAAAAAGGGACTGGATGGGGTACTAACAGCATCTACTGCAACGAGAAAAAGGAAGCTTACAAAAACTGAGTGACTTATCTGGAAACACAGAGCAGGTACAATTGGAACTTGAAACTTATTCTCTTTACCTTATAACTCATGCTCTTTTCCATTCCAGCTTTATATAATTTCAACCTATTAAAACATAATGGGAAGTTCTCTTTTTTCTATTCATTAGCCCTTTAAGTTTTTCCCCTTATTCTTTTTAGTTTAGGGTTTTTCTCTTATTGTTTTGGGTCTTTTTGGTGCAGGCAGGGGTTGAGGATAATTGCTTCATCTCTGCTTGAAATGACCTTTGCCATCAGTTCTCCCTCCTGGCAATCTCCTAGTTAATGTTACATCACCTTACAGAAGTGGTTCTTCTAATTTATGTCCCTAAAAATCCTGTTTATAGCTATGATTTGTATTATTTCATATGTATCATGTGTGCAAGACTGTTTACTCTTAACATTGTCAAATACTTGAAAGCAAGGATCATTTTAGTTTATCAATCTTTATATTATCGGTATGTGGCACCTAATGGGAATTTGAAAATAGTTTGTTGAATTAAGCTGTACTTTGTTTTAATATAACTAGAAAAGAGCCAAAGGTACAGTATTTTTTTAACTTTGTATCTTTCAGTGTCCTTTAGCAAGTGGATTTGATTTGTTAAAGTTTATGGCAAGTCACTGTTTTAGACTAGCCTCCCACACTAAACTTTAGCAGACAAAACCAAACCAAAATGGAATCACTCCTGTTAAGTGCCAAGTAAATGAACTGAATTTTGAGATGGGCCAGTTTTCCACAGCAACCAATGAGGCCCAGTTTACCTGGAGCCAGCATGATAAGGAAGTCCCCTCTGCGTCAATTGTATGAGGGAAGTAACTTTTTAAATAAATTTATTTCCATAGGCTTTGCGGGGGAAAGGTGGTATTTGGTCACATGAGTAAGTTTTTTAGTGGTGATTTGTGAGATTATGATGCTCCCATCATGCAAGCAGTATACACTGAACCCAATTTGTAGTCTTTTATCCCTCACCCCCTTCCCACCCTTTTCCCCAAGTCCCCAAAGTCCATTACATAATTCTTATGCCTTTGCATCCTCATAGCTTAGCTCCCCCTTATGAGTGAGAATATACAATGTTTGGTTTTCCATTCCTGAGTTACTTCATTTAGAATAATAGTCTCCAGTTCCATCCAGGTGCTGTGAATGCCATTAGTTCCTTTTTATGGCTGAGTAGTATTCCATATATACATATATATATATATGGAATATATAATATATAATGAAGTATCTCAGGAATATATATATATATATATATATATATATATATATATATATATGCATGCCACAATTTATTTATCTACTTATTGATTGATGGGCATTTGGGCTGGTTCCATATTTTTGCAATTGCAAATTGTACTGCTGTAAACATGTGTGTGCAACTATCTTTTCTGTATAGCAACTTCTTTTCCTCTGGGTAGATACCCAGGATTGGGATTGTTGGATCAAATAGTAGTTCCATTTTTAGTTCTTTAAGGAATCTCCACACTGTTTTCCAAAGTGGTTGTACTAGTTTACATTCCCAACAGCAGTATATAAGTGTTGCCTTTTCACCACATCCATGGCACCATCTATTAATTTTTTATTTTTTGATTATGGCCATTCTCGCAGGAGTATAGTGGTATTGCATTGGGTTTTGGTTTAAATAGGCACAGGACCAATGGAACAGAAGAGAGAAGCCAGAAATAAACCCAAATACTTACAGTCAACTGATCTTCAACAAACGAAACATAAAGCGGGGAAAGGATACCCTATTGAACAAATGGTGTTGGGATAACTGGCAAGCCACATAAAGGAGAGTGAAACTGGATCCTTATCTCTCACCTTATACAAAAATCAACTCAAGATGGATCAAGGACTTAAATATAAAACCTGAAACTATAAAAATACTCAAAGATAACATCAGAAAAACCCTTCTAGACCCTGGCTTAGGCAAAGACTTCATGACCAAGAACCCAAAAGCAAATATAACAAAAACAAAGACAAATAGGTGGGACTTAATTAAACTAAAGAGCTTCTGCACAGCAAAAGGATATAAACAGCAGAGTAAACAGACAACCCACAGAGTGGGAGAAAATCTTCGCAAGCTATACATCCGACAAAGGACTAATATCCAGAATCTACAAGGAACTCAAGCAAATTAGCAACAAAAAAGCAAACAATCCCATCAAAAAGTGGGCTAAGGACATGAACAATTTTCAAAAGAAGATAGAGAAATGGCCAACAAACATATGAAAAAATGCTTAACATCACTAAGGAAAGTAACTTTGAAACAACCAATTTGCTTTTTGTTTCTCGTTTCTGTTTTCTTCAGCCATTTTTGGCCTATAAAGCCAACTATCTCTGCTCAGTCCATTCTATTTAATAGAATGAGATGTTGCCTGATTCTAGAAGTAAAAAAAAAAAAAAAAAAAAAGAAACAAACAAAAAAAGCCAGGCCGGGCACAGTGGCTCATGCCTGTAATCCCAGCACTTTGGGAGGCCAAGGTGGGCGGATCACGAGGTCAGGAGTTCAAGACCAGCCTGGCCAATATGGTGAAACCTCATATCTAATAAAAATACAAAAATTAGCTGGGCATAGTGGTGCGCGCCTGTAGTCCCAGCTACTCGGGAAGCTGAGGCAAAAGAATTGCTTGAACCCAGGAGGGGGAGGTTGCACCACTGCACTCCAGCCTGGGCGACAGAGCAAGACTCTGTCTCAAAAAAAAAAAAAACCAAAGCCAATTAAATCTTTAAATTAAATTTGTTGTACTTCTCTTTTAATAGACTATATACTGTAGAAAGCTAAATATGTTGGCAGATGAGAACTAAGTACTAGTATACTACAGATCAGGATCAGTAAGAGTTAGTCACTCTCACAAAGTGGATGCTTTATAAATGGAAAAATAATATACTTTTTATCTATTTAAATGTGTAAACAGCAATATCTAATAATTATATTTCACTTAAAATATATTAAAAGACATTTAAAACTGCTTTATACAGGAAAATATTACAGATAAAAGTTACTAATCTCTACCCATCCATCCAAATTATAGAGGTCTAATTTTGAAAATCAATTTAGCAGAGGAATGTTACTTAATTTAAAGGAAAAATCACTTTGATAATTATGCTCAAAGACACACCTCAATGAAACCATCCAAAAAACTAAATATGTAATAAATTTTTCCACTATTTTATCGTTATGTTTGGCATTAATGATACCACTTAGTATTCTACTGCTCTACAAGGCTAGTATCATTTTCTAAAACTAAACAGACTGTTAGCAGAAGTTATTTCAAAGCTATACAAACAGACCTCAGAAAGTTTCTGTTAAATTTTTTTTCCTAAAAAGAAAGGTCAAAGAGGAAGAAGTTATTAGGAATACAGGGTGAGAAAATAAAAGAAGTAGTATTCAAAACAAAACCAAAAATACGAATAGAAAAGAATGGCTTCAATGATTTTTTTCCAGTTGCTTATCCTCGCAAAGTAACCATTTAATGGGTAAGAATGCCAAAAATATCTTAGAAAATGCACAATGCCATTATACCTAGATTCTTTTTAAGCACCAATGGCCATCATCAGTCAATAATGTACTTAAAATGAAAACCCACTTGAGCACTAAAAGAACACAAATAGAAGAAATCAACAGCCTGAAACGTTTATTTTTACAAACAGTTGATTACAGAAACCCAACTCAAGAACACCATGGCCTGATCTTCTTTTTGAATACATAATGTATCCAATAGGAATCACAGAGGAATAGGCATTTTCTTCACGCTTTTATATTTGCTTATTCGTTTGCTTTTCAAAGAAAAGTATTATTTTCATGAGGCATAAATTCCAGAGAATGACATGGCTAATTATAGTTTGTAGAACTTTTTAATCTAAGCCATTAGACTCCCTGAACTACCTCAAACGAAAAACATCGGCTTTTAGCTCTAAATCTAAATGAATTGTTTCCATATTACCGGAACATAACTCGTTTCATCTCACCACCTGTATTACATAATATCATGGTCTTTTCATACCAACTCCAATATAACTACAATATTTATTGCTTCCGCTATACCTACTGCATTTTATGATTCAGTGTTATTACACATATAAAATGAATGGTCGTGTTTTGAAATTTTCAAGAAGTTACAAAAGTCTTTTCACAAATACATCTACATAAATTCAGCTAGATTATTCTAATAACATTTGACAAAATGTTCCTTCCACCAACTTGTTTGTTTATAAATTAAATTACATGCACAAAACTAATTTTCAACCAGTTTTCAGAGTTCCCTTTCTTTATGTGGTTTTAGTTCATTCAAGCCCTCAGCATTGTTCACTACAAAATCCTTCTGGTCCCTTCTAATATACACTATATACCACATTGCTATTAGATGATTCAAAACCATACATCATGTAACTCCTTGCCTTAAAAATCCAATAATGGAAATGACATCACCAACGACAGAGTAGAAGCCACTATCTTTCCCAACTCCACACCTGCCCCAACCCCAGAACTGCAGTCATTCTACAAATAACCCACTCCAAGCCCAGGCAATGTGGCTGCACTGGGCCCACATTTCAGATATCTGAGCCATCACCTTAGTGAGCAACTTCATATTCCCTGGGCTAAAAGCCAAGCCCTCACTGCTCATGCTTGTACTCCAAGTACCAAACCAGCTATCACACAGAGCTAGGCCCCACGTCTACCTAGGAGCCTCTCTAATTCTGCATATACCTGTACTCCCAATTCTCATCTCCACTGATGTGTTCACAAGCCTCCAGGCATCACATACTGCTGCCAACATGGCAGGTGAGGTGCCTACATGATACATATCAGTGCCATTATGGACCCAGATGCCAGAGCCATACTCCCTCCACAAGTACCCAGGCTTCAGGTCTCAACTCCAAGGCCACATCACAGGCAACACACATCACAAACTAGTACCACTGCTATTTCAAGCAAGTCCACAAGCCATACCCAGTACCAAAACGAATCCATGCTCAGCCACAACTTCCCTGTTAGGAGTAAAAGAGATCACAAGGACCTTAGCAGCCATTGTCACCAAAGACCCCAACAACCCTTGCTGCCACCACAGACATCAGTATTAGCCACTGAGGATTCACACTATTGGCCACTGAGCATCCCTCCAATCTTGGTCTAAAATCAACCTCGGCTGGCAGAGCTACACAGATTACCCAGCTTGAACCCTCACTGGTGCCAGAACTGTTGTACCCTAACCAACAAGCGCCCTCATAAGGTGAAGGTCTTTCCATAGCAAAACTAGCCCAAAAAGTCTGCAAGGGGTGACTACTCCACCAAATGCTCAGACATCAACATAATGCAACAAGAACCATGAAAAACCAAGGAGACAAAACACCACCAAAAGAATACAATCGGGCGGTTCCAAGATGGCCGAATAGGAACAGCTCCAGTCTACAGCTCCCAGCATGAGCGACACAGAAGACGGGTGATTTCTGCATTTCCAACTGAGGTACCGGGTTCATCTCACTGAGGCTTGTCAGACAGTGGGTGCAGGACAGTGGGTGCAGCCCACTGAGCGTGAGCCAAAGCAGGGCGAGGCATCGCCTCACCCTGGAAGTGCAAGGGGTCAGGGAATTCCCTTTCATGGCCAAGCAAAGCTGGAAAATCAGGTCACTCCCACCCTAACACTGCGCTTTTCCAATGATCTTAGCAAACGGCACACAGGAGATTATATCCCGCACCTGGCTCAGAAGGTCCCAGGCCCACGGAGCCTCACTCATTGCTAGCACAGCTGTCTGAGATCAAACTGCAAGGCGGCAGCAAGGCTGGGGGAGGGGTGCCCGCCATTGCTGAGGCTTGAGTAGGTAAACAAAGCCACCAGGAAGCTCGAACTGGGTGGAGCCCACGGCAGCTCAAGGAGGCCTGCCTGCCTCTGTAGACTCCACCTCTGGGGGCAGGGCATAGCCAAACAAAAGGCAGCAGAAACCTCTGCAGACTTAAACGTCCCTGTCTCACAGCTTTGAAGAGAGTAGGGGTTCTCCCAGCACACAGCTGGAGGTCTGAGAACAGACAGACTGCCTCCTCAAGTGGGTCCCTGACACCCGAGTAGCCTAACTGGGAGGCACCCCCCAGTAGGGGCAGACTGACACCTCATACGGCTGGGTACCCCTCTGAGACGAAACCTCCAGAGAAACAATCAGACAGCAACATTTGCTGTTCAGCAATATACGCTGTTCTGCAGCCTCCGCTGCTGATACCCAGGCAAACAGGGTCTGGAGTGGAGCTCCAGCGAACTCCAACAGACATGCAGCTGAGGGTCCTGACTGTTAAAAGGAAAACTAACAAACAGAAAGGACATTCACACCAAAACCCCATCTGTACATTACCATCATCAAAGACCAAAGGTAGATAAAAAAGACAAAGATGGGGAAAAAGCAGAACAGAAAAACTGAAAATTCTAAAAATCAGAGTGCCTCTCCTCCTCTAAAGGAACGCAGCTCCTCACAAGAAACGGAACAAAGCTGGATGGAGAATGACTTTGACGAGTTGAGAGAAGAAGGCTTCAGACGATCAAGCTTCTCCGAGCTAAAGGAGGAAGTTCAAACCCATGGCAAACCTTGAAATAAGATTAGACAAATGGCTAACTAGAACAACCAATGCAGAGAAGTCCTTAAAGGACCTGATGGAGCTGAAAACCACGGCACGAGAACTACGTGACAAATGCACAAGCTTCAGTAGCCGATTTGATCAACTGGAAGAAAGGGTATCAGTGATGGAAGATCAAATGAATGAAATGAAGTGAGAAGAGAAGTTTTGAGAAAAAAGAATAAAAAGAAACAAAAGCAAAGCCTCCAAGAAATATGGGACTATGTGAAAAGACCAAATCTACACCTGATTGGTGTACCTGAAAGTGACAGGGAGAATGGAACCAAGTTGGAAAACACTCTGCAGGAGAACTTCCCCAATCTAGCAAGGCAGGCCAACATGCAAAATCAGGAAATACAGAGAACGCCACAAAGATACTCCTCGAGAAGAGCAACTCCAAGACACATAATTGTCAGATTCACCTAAGTTGAAATGAAGGAAAAAATGTTAAGGGCAGCCAGAGAAAAAGGTCGGGTTACCCACAAAGGGAAGACCATCAGACTAACAGCTGATCTCTCAGCAGAAACTACGAGCCAGAAGAGAGTGGGGGCCAATATTCAACATTTTAAAGAAAAGAATTTTCAACCCAGAATTGCATATCCAGCCAAACTAAGCTTCATAAGTGAAGGAGAAATAAAATACTTCACAGAGAAGCAAATGCTGAGAGATTTTGTCACCACCAGGCCTGCCCTACAAGAGCTCCTGTCCTGGGATCGGGGGAGGGAGGAGGGAAAGCATTAGGAGATATAACTAATGTAAATGACGAGTTAATGGGTGCAGTACACCAACATGGCACATGTAAACATATGTAAGAAACCTGCAAGTTGTGCACATGTACCCTAGAACTTAAAGTATAACAAAAAAAATAAATTTAAAAAAAAAAAAGTCAAAAAAAATAATGAAAATTCTGAATTAAAAAAAAAAAGGTGCACAATTTGGTTTGTTATGCAAATTTTTGTTTTTCCTGAGCTATTCAGCTACTTTAAAACATGCATATAAGCTAGCTAGTCATTTTGAATAAGAAGAAAAATAAATGGAGAAATGATTATGATAGCACTGTTTATGCCTTTTAAAAACAGAATGTCTAAATATTTGGAAAAAAAAAAGGTGCACAATTTGGTTATGCAAATTTTTGTTTTTCCTGAGCTATTCAGCTACTTTAAAATATGCATATAAGCTAGCTAGTCATTTTGAATAAAAAGAAAAATAAATGGAGAAAGGATTATGATAACACTGTGAGTGTTTATGCCTTTTAAAAATAGATGTCTAAATATTTAGGAAAAAAAAAAAAAAGAATACAATCTCCCAGTGCCTGACCACAAAGAAATGAAGATAAACTGCCTGAGAAAGAAATCAGAATAATCATTTTAAGTGAGCTCAGTGAACTTCAAGAAAATAAATGACCAAAATGAAAAACCTAATAGATTGAAATTATAAAAAGAAACAAATTCCAAAGCCGAAAAACACGATGAAATGAAATTAAAACTTTAACTGAGTATCAACAATATCAGAACTGATCAAGCAGAAGATCTGTGATCTTAAGGACAAGTTAGTTAAAAATATATAGTCAAAAGAGAAAAAAAAAACTATGTAACTGAAGAAAGCTTATAAAATATATGAGACAGCATCAAAACAGCAAATATTTCGGTCATAGGAGTTCAAGAAGAAGAAAGAGAAAAAGTGATAGAAATCTTATTTAAATAAATAGCAGAAAATGTCCCAAATCTGAAGAAGATATAAATATCAACATATAGGCAGGGAAAAAAATCTCCCATCAGAGTTAATCCAAACAAGAATAGACGAAGGTATATTATAACCAAACTGTCAGAAATCAAACATAAAGAAAAGATCCTGAAACCAACAAGAGAAAAGAAAGAAATCACATATAACAGAGTTCAAATAAGGCTAACAGCAGTTTTCTCGGTAGACACCTTACAGACCAGGAGAGAATGGGATGATATAGTCAAAGTGATGAAAAGGATGGGGAGAAAATGTCCACCAAGAATAGTGTACCAGATTGTGAATGTTAGCTTCTGATCAACTGCAGGAACAAACCAGCAATCCTGAGAGGACCCACAGAACCTCTGAAGAAAGCGGACTGCTCCTGCAGTACCTGGGAGACACCTCAAATACTCTGGGAAGTGGAAAGCCTCTGGTAAGTTTTCAAGCGTGCCCTCCACCTGGAAACAGACTTGGGGCTGTTGTGGGCAGCACGGTGGGAATGAGACCAGCCTTTCAGTTCGCTTGGGAGCTAAGTGAGGCCTGTGATTGCCGCTTTTCCTCACATCCCTGACAACCTGCATGACTCGGCAGAGGCAGCCATAATCCTCCTAGGTATACAATTCCAGTGACCTGGGAATCTCACCCCATCCCCCACAGTAGCCACAGCAAGACGGCCCAAGTAGAGTCTGAATTCAGACACACCTAGCCCCATCCCCACCTGACAGGATTTCCCTAGGAAACCTGGTAGCCAAAGACAAAGGACATACAATCCTGGGAGTTCTAGGGCCCCACCCACTGCTGATCCCTCTCCACACTACTACAGCTGATGCTTTCTAGAAAGCACCACCTCCTGGCAGGAAGTCAACCAGCACAAAAATAGAGCATTAAACCACCAAAGCTAAGAACCCTCACAGAGTCCGTTGCACCCTCCACCACCTCCACCAGAACAGGCACTGGTATCCACTGCTGAGAGACCCATAGACGGTTCACATCAGAAGGACTGTGCACAGAAACCCTCAGCACCAGCCAGGAGCTGGGTAGACTCACTGGGTGGCTAGACCCAGAAGAGAGAAAACAATCAGGCAGTTTGGCTCACAGGAAGCCATAACCACAGGAAAAGGGGGCGAGTACTACATCAAGGGAACCCCCTGTGGGACAAAAAAATCTGAACAACAGCCTTCAACCCTAGACCTTCCCTCTGACAGAGCCTACCCAAATAGGAAAGAACCAGGAAATCAACCCTGGTAATATGACAAAACAGGGTTCATCAACACCCCCATAAAATCACACTAGTTCACCAGCAATGGATCCAAACCAAGAAGAAATCCCTCACTTACCTGAAAAAGAATTCAGGAAGTTAGTTATTAAGCTAAACAGGGAGGGACCAGAGAAAGGCGAAGCCCAATGCAAGGAAATCCAAAAAGTGATATAAGAAGTGAAGGGATCAATATTCAACAAAATAGATAGCATAAAGAAAATACAATCAAAAATTCAGGAAACTTTGGACACACTTTTAGAAATGCAAAATGCTCTGGAAAGTCTCAGCAATAGAACAGAACAAGTAGAAGAAATTGAGAGCTCAAAGACAAGGTCTTCGAACTAACCCAATCCAACAAAGAAAAAGAAAACAGAATAATATGAACAAACCCTCCAAGAAGTTTGGGATTATGTTAAACAACCAAACCTAAGAATACTCTGTGGAGAATGCACAATTACTAACAGACCTAAGAATAATCAGTGTTCCTGAGGAAGAAGACAATTCTAAAAGCTTAGAAAACATATCTGGGGGAATAATCAAGGAAAACTTCCCCAGCCTTGCTAGAGACCTAGACATCCAAATACAAGAAGCACAAAAAAACACCTGGGAAATTCATCACAAAAAGATCAATGTCTAGGCACACTGTCGTCAGGTTATCCAAAGTTAAGACAAAGGAAAGTATCATAAAAGCTGTTAGACAAAAGTACCAGGTAACCTATAAAGGAAAACCTATCAGATTAACAGCAGATTTCTGAGCAGAAACCCTACAAGCTAGAAGGGATTGGGGCCCTATCTTCAACCTCCTCAAACAAAACAATCTTCAGCCAAGAATTTTGTATCCAGCGAAACTAAACATCATATATGAAGGAAAGATACAGTCATTTTCAGACAAATGCTGAGAGAATTCACCATTACCAAGCAACCACTAAAAGAACTGCTAAAAGGAGCTCTAAATCTTGAAACAAATCCTGGAAACACATCAAAACAGAATCTCTTTAAAGCATAAAGCACACACGACCTATAAAACAAAAATACAAGTTAAAAAGCAAAAACAAAAAAAACAAAGTATAAAGGTAACAAAGAACATGATGAATGCAAGGGTACCTCACATTTCAATACTAACATGGAATGTAAATGGCCTAAATGCTCCACTTATAACATACAGAATTGCAGAATAGGTAAGAACTCACCAACCAATTATCTGCTGCCTTCAGGAGATTCACCTAACACATAAGGACTCACATAAACTTAAAGGGGTAGTAAAGAGCATTTCATGCAAATGGACACCAAAAGCAAGCAGGAGTAGCAATTCTTATATCAGACAAAAGAAACCTTAAAGCAACAACAGTTAAAAAAGACAAAAGGCCGGGCACAGTGGCTGACACCTGTAATCCCAGCACTTTGGGAGGCCAAGGTGTGCAGATCACGAGGTCAGGAGATCAAGACCATCCTGGCCCTGGCTAACACAGTGAAACCCTATCTCCACAAAATATACAAAAAAATTAGCCAGGCATGGTGGCGGGTGCCTGTAGTCCCAGCTACTCAGGAAGCTGAGGCAGGAGAATGGCGTGAACCCAGGAAGCGGAGCTTGCAGTGAGCCGAGATCGTGCCACTGCACTCCAGCCTGGACGACAGAGTGAGACTCCATCTCAAAAAAAAAAAAAAAGACAAAAAGGGACATTATATAATGATAAAAGGCCTTGTCCAACAGGAAAATATCATAATCCTAAACATATATGCACCTAATACTGGAGCTCCCAAATTTATAAAACAATTACTAACAGACCTAAAAATGAGATAGACAGCAACACAATAATGTGGGGGGGGGGGGGGACTTCAATACTCCACTGACAGCACTAGACAGGTCAACAAGACAGTCAACAAAGAAATAATAAATTTAAACTATACCTTGGAACAAATAGACTTTGAGCAGATATATACAGAACATTTCATCCAACAACTGCAGAATACACATTCTATTCAACAGCCAAGGAACTTTCGCCAAGATAGACCATATGATAGGCCATATAAAGAGCCTCAATAAATTTAAGAAAATTGAAATGCTATCAAGCACTTTCTCAGACCACAGTGGAATAAAACTGGAAATCAACTCCAAAAGGAACCCTCAAAACCATGCAAATACATGGAAATTAAATAACCTGCTCTTGAATGAGCACTGGATCAAAAATGAAATCAAAATGAAAATTAAAAAATTCTTCGAACTGAATGACAATAATGACATAACTTATCAAAACCTCTGGGACACAGCAAAGGCAATGCTAAGAGGAAAGTTCATAGCCCTAAACGCCTACATCAAAAAGGTTGAAAGAGCACAAACAGACAATCTAAAGTCACGCCTCAGGGAACTACAGAAACAAGAACAAACCAAAACCAAACCCAGTAGAAGAAAAAAAATAAGAGCAGAGCAGAACTAAACAAAATTGAAACAAACAAACAAAAAATACAGTACAAAAGATACATGAAACAAAAAGATGGTTATTTGAAAAGATATATAAGATTGATAGACCATTTGCAAGATTAACCAAGAAAAGAGAGAAAATCCAAATAACCTCACTGAGAAATGAAACAGGAGATACTACAACTGACACTACTGAAATACAAAAGATCATTCGAGACTACTATGAACACCTTTACACACATAAACTAGAAAACCTAGAACAGATGGATCAATTCCTAGAAAATACAACCCTGCTAGCTTAAATAAGGAAGAATTAGATACCTTGAACAGACCAATAACAAGCAGCGAGATTGAAATGGTAATTTAAAAATTATAAAAAAAAAAAAAAGTCCACGACCAGACGGATTCACAGCAGAATTCTACCAGACATTCAAAGAAGAACTGGTACCAATCCTTTCAACACTATTCCACAAGATAGAGAAAGAGGGAACCCTCACTAATCCATTCTATGAAGCCAGCGTCACCCTAATAACAAAACCAGGGAAGGACATAACCAAAAAAGAAAACTACAGACCGATATCCTTGATGAACATAGATACTAAAATCCTTAACAAAATACTAGCTAACCAAATCCAGTAACACATCAAAAAGATAATCCACCATGATCAAGTGGGTTTCATACCAGGGATGCAGGGATGGTTTAACATATGCAAGTCAATAAATATATTTCACCACATAAACAGATTTTAAAACAAAAATCACACAATCATCTCAATCGATGCAGAAAAAGCATTCGACAAAATCCAGCATCCCTTTATGATCAAAACCCTCAGCAAAATCAACATACAAGGGACATACCTTAATGTAATAAAAGCCATCTATGACAAAACCACAGCCAACATAATACTGAATGGGGAAAACTTGAAAGTATTCCCCCTGAGAATGGGAACAAGACAAGGATGCCCATTCTCACCACTCCTCTTCAACATAGTACTGGAAGTCTTAGCCAGAACAATCCGACAAGAGAAAGAGATAAAGGGCATCCACGTCGGTAAAGAGGAAGTCAGACTGTTGCCGTTTGCTGACAATATGATTGTTTACCTTGGAAACCCTAAGTACTTCTCCAGAAAGCTCCTAGAATTGATAAAAGAATTCAGTAAAGTTTCCGGATACAAGATTAAAGTACACAAATCAGTAGCTCTTCTATATACCAACAGCAATCAAGCTGAGAAATCAATAACTCAATCCCTTTTACAATAGCTGCAAAAATAATAAAATACTTAGGAATATACCTAACAAAGGAGTCGAAAGACCTCTACAAGGAAAACTACAAAATACTGCTAAAAGAAATTACAGACAACACAAACAAATGGAAACACATCCTATGCTCACGGATGGCCAGAATCAGTATTGTGAAAATCATCATACTGCCAAAAGCAATCTATAAATTCAAAGCAATCCCCATCAAAATAGCACCACCATTCTCCACAGTTAGAAAAAACAATTCTAAAATTCATATGGAACCAAAAAAGAGCCCACATAGCCAAAGCAAGGCTAAGCAAAAAGAACAAATCTGGAGGCATCATATTACCTGATTTCAAAATATACTATGAGGCCATAGTCACCAAAACAGCATGGTACTAGTATAAAAATAAGCATATAGACCAATGGAACAGAATAGAGAACTCAGAAATAAATCCAAATACTTATAGCCAACTGATCTTTGACAAAACAAACAAAAACATAAAGTGGGGAAAGGACTCCCTTTTCAACAAATGGTGCTCAGACACTAGGCTAGCCACATGTAGGAGAATGAAACTCGATCCTCATCTCTCACCTTATACAAAAATCAACTCAAGATGGATTAAGGACTTAAATCTAAGACCTGAAACTAAAAATTCTAGAAGTTAACATTGGAAAAACCCTTCTAGACATTGCCTTAAACAAGGATTCCATGACCAAAAACCCAAAAGCAATTGCAATAAAAACAAAAAAAAATAGCTGTGACCTAATTAAAGAGCTTTTGCATGGCAAAAGGAACAATCAGCAAAGTAAACTGACAACCCACAGAGTTGGAGAAAATCTTCACAATCTATATATCTGACAAAGGACTAATATCTAGAATCTACAACAAACTCAAATCAACAAGAAAAATCAATCAATACCATCAAAAAGTGGGCTAAGGACATGAATAGACAACTCTCAAAAGAAGATATACAAATGGCCAACAAACACATGAAAAAATGCTCAACATCACTAATGATCAGGGAAATGCAAATCAAAACCACAATGCGATACCACCTTACTCCTGTAAGAATGGCCATAATCAAAGAATCAAAACACAGTAGATGTTGGCATGGATGCGGTGAACAGGGAACACTTCTACACTGCTGGTAGGAATGTAAACCAGTACAAGCTGCTATGGAAAACAGTGTGGAAACTCCTTAAAGAACTAAAAGTAGAACTACCATTTGATCCAGCAATCTCATTACTGGGTATCTACCCTGAGGAAAAGAAGTCATTATTCTAAAAAGATACTTGCACACGCATGTTTATAGCAGCACAATTCACAATAGCAAAATCATGGAACCAACCCAAATGCCTATCAATCAATGAGTGGATAAAGAAGCTCAGATAGACAGATAGATAGATAGATAGATAGATAGATAGATAGATAGATAGATAGATAGATGATGGAATACTACTCAACCATACAAAGGAATGAATTAACAGCATTTGCAATGACCTGGATGAGATTAGAGACTATTATTCCAAGTGAAGTAACTCAGGAATGGAAAACCAAACATCGTATGTTCTCACTGATATGTGGGAACTAAGCTATGAGGACACAAAGGCGTAACAATGATACAATGGACTTTGGAGACTTGGGGAGAAGAGTGGGAGTGAAGTGGGGGATAAAAGACAACAAATATGGTGCAGTGTATACTGCTCGGGTGATGGGTGCACCAGGTTCTCACAAATCTCCACTAAAGAACTTACTCATGTAACCAAATACCACCTGTACTCCAATAACTTATGGAAAAATAAAATTTTAAAAAAATAAAAAATAAAAATGAATCAGGGGGATGTCTATGTTGAAAGCTGTAAATACTAAATAACTCCTATAAAAAGCAAAAAAAAAAAATACTGTATCAAGCAAAATTAGATAAGAGAAAGAAATAATAGGCATCCAAAGGAAAAAGTTATATCATCTCTGTTTGCAGACAACATAATCTTTCATGGAGTAAAACCTAAAGACTCTGGAATAAACTGTTAGAACAAATAAACAAATTCAGTAATTCTGCAAGACACAAAATTAACATGTGAAAATCAGTATCATTTCCATACTATTCAAAAAAGAAATTTTAAAAAACTCATTAACAATAGCTACCAAAAAAAGGTAAATACTTAGAAATAAATTTGACCAAAGAAGTACAGCCTGTACACTATACTGTGAAAACTACAAAACACTGATGAAAGAAATGGAAGACACAATTAAATGGAAAGATATCCTAACTTTATGGATTGAAAGAATATTGTTAAAACCAGGCACAGCGGCTCATGCCTGCATGAACACTGAGGAAAGAAATGGAAGAAGACACAATTAAATGGAAAGATATTCTAACTTTATGTATTGAAAGAATATTGTTAAGGCCAGGCACAGTGGCTCATGCCATATGGAACCTGTAATCTCAGAAATTTAGGAGGCCAAGGTGGGCGGATCACTTGAGCTCAGAAGTTCAAGACCAGCCTGGGCAACATGGCGAGACCCCATCTCTACAAAAAATACAAAAATTAGCCAGGCATCGTGGCATGCACAGATAGTTCCAGCTACTCAGGAGGCTGAGGTGGAAGGATCACTTGAGCCTGGGAGGTAGAGGTTGCAGTGAGTTGAGATCACACCACTTGCACTTCAGCCTGGGTAACAGAGGAAGACTCTGTCTCAAAAAAAAAAAAAAAAAAAAAAAAAGAATATTGTCAAAATGTCCAGACTACCCAAAGTGACCTAAAGACTGAATGCAATCTTTATCTAATGACACTTTCCACAGAAACAGAAAAAAAATCCTAAAATTCATATGGAACCACAAATGACCCCAAATAGCCAAAGCAGTCTTGAGCAAAAAGCAAATCCAGAGGCTTCACATTACCTAATTTGAAAATCTACTATCAAGCTACAGTAATCAAAACAGCATGGTACGGGCATAAAAGCACACACACTAACGGAACAGAACAGTGAATCCAGAAGTAAATCCATACATTTACTGTCAACTGATTTTCAATAAAGATGCCAAGAACACAAAATGAGGGAAGGATAGTCTCTTCAATAAATGGTGCTGGGGAAACTGGTTAGCTACATGCAGAAGAATAAAATTAGATCCTTATCTAACAACATACACAAAAATCAACTCAAACTGCATTAAACACAAACATAAGACATGAAATTGCAAAGCTGCTAGAAGAAAACAGAGGGGAAAAGCTCTATGAAATTGGTTTGGATAATAATGTTTTGGATATGACCCCAAAAGAACTGGCAACAAAAGCAAAAATAGGCAAATGGGATTACAATAAACTAAAACACTTCTACAGAACAAAGAAAACAATCAACAGAGTAAAGAAACAAGCATACAGAATGAGAAAATATATTTGCAAACCATACATCTGCAAAGGGGTTAATATCTAAAATACATAAGGAATGCAAAAAAACAAGTAACACAATTTTTAAAATGGGAGGTTTTCAGGTGATGAGAGCCTCACCCTCAGGAATAGATTAACACCATTATGAAAAGGACTTGCAGGATTGGGAGTCAATTCCAACTACATGACATACTGGAAAAGGCAATACTATAGACAGAGTAAAAAGATCCGTTGTCACAATGGTTAAGATAGTAAATTTATGTTATATGTATTTAACCACTATTACATACATGTATCAGTAAAAAGAAAGGGAAGAAAAAAATAGTTATTAACAGGGATTGTGGAGAGAGAAGGATAGGAGGTGCACAGAGGATATTTAGGGCAGTGAAACTATTCTGGATGACACCGTAATTTTGGAGACAGGACATTATACATTTGGCAAAACCTATGAAATGGTACAACATAAAGAAAAAATCCTAATGTAAACTGTGGACTTTAGCTAACTATAATGTATCAATATTGGTTCATCAATTGTTATTAAGTGTAGACCACCAATGCAAGATATTAGTAAGAGTAAACTGAGAGCTGTTGGCAGTGGCAGGAAGGTGAGAGCTTATGGGAATTCTCTGTACTTTGTGATCAATTTGTCTGTAAATTTAAAACTGCACTGAAAAATAAAGTCTATTAATTTAAGATATTATCACTAATCAACTTTATAAATATTTCATGCAGTAAATAACTAAATAGCAATGCTAGAGTATACACCAACCAGTTGTATTGAATAATCCATAAATTATTTCAAAAATATGCCATCTTTAGGATTTCTCAATTTTCAAAAAACATGAATTTATAACTAAAAATGACAGGAGTCCTAGAGATTTAAAATAGTACCAAGAGATAGTGAAATAAATAAAGTAAATCTATATTAACCATTTATTATTAGTCAAGATTTTATTTCTCAGAGATTTTCCTACTACATGATCATTATATAACTTTAAATGTCAAAACTATTTTTAATTTATTAATTTTGGATGAAAATCTTCCCTACATAAATATTAAATATTTCCCAGTCTTTCATAAAAAAGTATGTTTAAAAAAATGTTCCTCTTGTCAACTAGTTCATTAAATTCCTACACTGATATCTTTTAAAATGTACTGAGGCAGACAGGGCAATCAATCTGCCCTCACATTAAATGACCCTTGAAGATGCTTTTTGGGTTTGTATATGTGTGTGTTTCTCTCTCAGACGAGCTATCTTTCTTACTGCTTGCAATGATTTATGTGTTTTATAATTAAATAGGTGTCTTATAATTATGTGTCTTATGATGTGTCTTATAATTAAATATGGGAGGTACAAACAATCACTTTGGAACTTTATCATAAATGAGGGCAAACAGGCAATCACCAGAGTTTGTAAGGCAGGAGGAAGCAGGCAGAAAGATTCCTCCTCCATAACAAAATTACTTGAGACATATTCTTGCCGGTATATCTAATAATTAGAATTGCTTAAAATGATCATGGACAAAATAAAGTACACAATAATTTGAACTGTAAGCTGTTACTTAAAGCCATCCCATTTATATAAAACCTTAAGTGTTAACAGGCTAAAGATCTGAAATTCAGATCAGAATACAAGCTCAATTTTTATTTACCAATAAAAATACATAAAATATTACTTTTCTTACTCAGTAGTAACCACCATCATCAAATAATACTCAAAGTCTACCTAATGTAGGTAAATCCTCAGAAAATGAATTTACTTTGGATATTATGTCCAATGGAAGATGCAATGACTGTTTCTGGAAATACATAGTAATATCAAATATAACTAGTTACTTTTTCCACTCAATGAAATTCAAATATGGATAAAACAGAGGGAAAATAGTTGATCATAGTTGTTACTAAGATTTCTGCTAAAATATTTCATGCTTAGGCATTAAACGTAGTGAACTCTAAAAGAGAGAACATTTCTGTGGATAATAAGTACATAAATCTTAACATCTTATTAGTAATAATGAAAAGTAAATAAATTAAATATTGAGATTGAAGATAATTTATAGATGGACTCTAATCAAAATTATTTGGATTCCAACCTCATCCTAAAAGGACTTTAGGGTGACACAATATAATGATTATATGATCAAGATGAACTTGCATGACTCAATTCAAGAGATGGTTATTACATACCATAGACACGATCTTTCACGTAACAATATTATTAAAAAAATTTCCAAATACTTCAAGAATTCTATTATAATATATAAATAAGAAACATGATCTTCATTATTACAAGTCATTCTTGCCTGTTCTATAAGAGGAGTGGACAAACCACTATGGCAGCTTCCCAGGTTTTTTTTGTTTTTTGAGACAGGGCTTTGCTCTGTCGCCCAGGCTGTAGTGCAGTGGCAAGTACACAGCTCACTGCAGCCTGCACCTCCTGGGGTCAGGTGATCCTCTCACCTCAGCCTCCCTAATAGCTGGGACCACAAGCGTACGTCACCATGCCTGGCTAATTTTTCTTTTCCATTTTTTTTTTTTTCTGGTAGACATGGGGTCTCACCATGTTGCCCAGGCTGGTCTCGAACTCCTGGGGACAAGTGATCCTCCCACCTCAGCCTCCCAAAATGCTGGGATTATAGGTGTGAACCACCATGCCTGGCCACAACTTCCTGTTTTTGTAAATAAAGTTTTACTGGAATTCAGCCATACTCATTTGTTTACTTATCATCTGCTTTCACACGGCAATGGCAGAGTTAGGTAGTTAACAGAAATCCTATGGCCCACAAAGCCAAAAATATTTACTACCTGGCCTTTTAGAAAAAGTGTGTCAATTCCTGGTAGGGCATCAACTAGTATAACACAAATTCAAAATTAATACTTTGTACATAGAGACGTAGTCTTCTGATCATTAAAATACTCCTTGTAAAGTGTAATGTAGTAGTATAAACAATTTAGTAGTATTAGTACAGTTGTAGTAGTATAAATAATTTAGTAACAGTAGTACAATATAATAGTATTTAATGTAAATAAACTTTTTAAGGCTTTTATATATATATTCCAGAAGCATATAGCTAAGAATACACAAATGACATACCAATAACAGATGCTTGTTTTGATCCTCTAAAAATTTCTAGCCTTGAATTACCATAATACAAACTCATAATTCTTAAAGTTAGGATTTTCAAAAATCTTTTACCATCTTCAATTTATATTTGCCATATATAAATAAACTGTGAAAACTAGCCATTTTTTTACTGTGAATAAAATTTAAAGACTAAAACTATAAACTAAAATCTAAAATTGCTGTATAGCCCAAGCTACTCATATTCACTCATTTTTAAAAATTTATTTATACATGAGTGAATTTTCCTCAAGTATGATTTCCATTTGAAATCAAATTTCTGTATCACTTAAACATAAAATGGTTTACCTTTCAGAATTCACTGTTTAAGCTGAAAAATGCCTATATATCCTTTACTTATATTCACCAATTAACATTTTGACACATTTATTTTACAAATGTATTTATTTTATGAATGTATTTAATTAAATTTTATTAATTCAGCTCATATCTCTTTTAAGACTATGGATATTGTACTATAAAAACATGATAGCATTATCACATCTAACTTAATACATATTCCATAGTATCGTCGCAATCCAGTCCATATTCCAAGTTTTCTCAAATATCCTAAAAGTGAACTATGCAGCTCTACTTTCAATCTAGCAACCAATCAAGTTTCACATGCATGTTGATTTCTGACAGGTAAGCACCAGATCTTTCTCTAAACAATCTATTTGTATCTAATACATTCTCTCTTCTACCCATAAACTTGTTCTCTTGAAAAGCGATAGGAACACAATTTCCCACTACTTACCTGCCAGAATCATTCAGCAGTGGAAGGATATTGTGATAACAATAGGGAAAAACTGATTTTCCAATTATTTCTATAGAATCTGTTTTCCCTATGAAGCTAGAAAAAAAATTGTAATCTCACCTTAGATGGTTAAAACATATTATAAATAAATACCTAAGAAATATTCATTAATCATCAAGTAAAAAGTCTTGTGACCTCCCAGTTCCCAAGAAGTTTTAATATTGTTAATACTAATAACTTAATAAGAATCATGAATAATTATCCAATGCAGCATTTTATAAAAAGAAACAATTAACATTTTATAAAAGTCTAGAGTGATCTCTACTGGTCACTAAAAAAGCTAGTTTTAGAAAACTAGAAATACTTATTTTTAAACATATTCAAACAATTTTATAGTTCATTAAGCTGAATAAAGTTTTAATCATCCCATAAAAAGACTGAATAACACGTATATTATGCCTATGCATCAAGAAACAGACTTCTTCAGGAATTAGTTTCAATGCTTTCAAGCTTCTATTAAAGTGTAAAACCTACATTTTAAACAATGCTTTATTATACCAATATTATAAAAATGTATACTTTTATAATTTTCTAATATTAATATAATTAAAATATATGAATATTTTAACATTTCTTTCCTGACTTCCTTAATCTTAAAAGTAAAATTAGTGCAAGTTTTCACTGCTATGCTTTCTGAGAAATTGAGATTTCCAATGGGAATACTGTCAAATATATAAAAACAAAAAGATCAGTATTCTAGCGCTTCATTTTCAATATATTTTCTATATTGTTAATTATGCTAGAACTCAAGGTATTTTCCAGCATAAGTTATACACAAGGCCTAACAAATAGAGACCTAAATCTGCGATCGCCTTTACTGAAACCAATGAAAAATCTATACACAGTAATGAAACTGGCATGCAAATAAAAGAACTGTCAAGACATGTATTCCTAAAAATAAGCCTACAATAACTATTTTAAAGGCTGTGTGTGGTCTCGCCCATATATTTTGGCAAGATGCACTTTCTCCAACCACAGTTAGATTCATCCAAAAGCAGTGGCACTGGAGAGCCTCTGTCTCACCTGTCAAAGTTGAAGAACGTTGTTCCAAAGACCACCATGAGTCCATGGAGAAAAGCCACAGTGCTACAGCTGTTATTGATAAGCAGTTTCTAAAGGAGAAAAAACTTCAAACAATTAAGCAAATCATCCTTAATAGAGATACAGACAGACATACGATGATATTCATGTTTAAATTATGAGATGACAATTACTGTGCCGGTTGTGAAACAAAACACTGACAATTTATATACTGGAATGCTCAGAGGGGAATCCTTCATAAGTAACACTAACTTACAATCTTCTCTATTCTTCCTCTAACTAAACTTGTATACATTGGTTATCAATTCAAAAACTCTATTATGTTCGGTTAAACCTTCAACAACCTCCTTTATAAACCTCAAAATTCATCTAAATTATTAAGTTACTAACTTCATCAAAATTGCTGAAGTCTGACAGCTAAGAGCACAGTGGATTAAGATTTATAAACGGAAACCTTAAATATATTAAAACCCGATTTTTTTAGATGATGCCTTAACATGTTTTTCAACCACATTATAAAAGCAGTTCACATTTTTGCTTTAGAATAACCTCCCTACAGTAAAGCACATAGACTGATAGAGCAAGCCATTAACATGAATAAAGAGCAAGAAAAACAATTACTTGAAAAAGAAATATGCCTCAGTGGACAATTCAAGTCCCACCCCCAACTTGGCAATAAAAGACATCTTAAAACAAATTGTAACGAAATATACATGACTATACTAAAAGTTTAGATAATGACAATGAGTATCTCAAAATTTAACTTATTTTTCCAAGTGATAATATCCTCTAATCCTATTTAATACTAAAAGAGTTCAATTGAAAGAGAGGAGATTTTCCTTTTGTACCTTTTCCAAGAAAGCTAATATACAAAAGATTCTCATTATAGGACAGTTTTACCTACAGCCATGTTCCATAGCACAAAGTTACAGCAGTGTTCCAACGTATACTATAATGTCCTACAGTTTCATTTACTATATTCTCTAAGTACAAAGGTTCTAAAAAGATTACTTTCACTTCTCCCTAGATACGTTAAATAGCATAGCTGGGATATTATTTTTCTTTGGTTTTGTCAGTAGCATGTTTGATATAAATTATATTAAGTGGTAGTGTATGTAACATTGCATTGTGGGTAGTAGTTTCCTGCTTTAGTCTAGCCACATCCTCAGCTGTCATATGAGCATGTTTCCCATATTTTCTGCAAGTTCTCGCCTTTTTTTATTATTACAAAAATGACAGCATTCAAAGATGAATTGTTCTAATAATTACAAGAAACATGAATTACTTATACAGCTACATTAAACAAGTATGGATCACTCTGCACTTCAAAGAATAATCAAAGAAAAAAAAGTAATCCTCATAATTAAAGTGTTAATACTATGTGAACAATGTATTAAAGTAAATTAGCATAAAAGGATTCAAGAAACAATTAAAAACAGCTGAAAGAAATTAAGTCTCTATAATCAGATGCCAATACTATCTAACAACTGAGGCATTACATATTAGAATATAACAATTTCTAATGAATGTTAAGAGCTCCAAATCTACCGAGTATTCATTAGTGAGGATTAATGTCAATATCCCCTACTAGAACTTAAGAATCTACTTTGAGGCTGTATAGAAATGAGGGAAAAAAGGAAGAGAACCCAAAAAAGCCTGAAGGAGAAAGAAAGGGAAAGAGGAGGAATGGGGGAGACAGGTAGAGGGAGAGAGATTGGTAGAGAGAGAGAGATAGGGAGAGGGAGGGAGGGAAGGCAGGAGAGATTGACTTAGCATTTTCTCTTCTGGCATTCCACATAATCTCACATTTAGACAGCTGCTAAAACTAATCAAATGAAGTTGTTCAAACAATCAGGGAAATGGTGCTAGTTTGGGTTTTTACCTGATCTAATTAAAATAAACTGAGAAAAATGCTCTTATTACAAAAAGTACTACAAAACAATGCCTTGTATACATACGCAATAAGACAAATGTGCATGCAGTTGTGTACATAAACATATACCCCATTAAACAAGGAAATGGAATACTGCACAGTCACCATAATTTAACAGATGAAACTATACATATTTTACTAACAGAAGTAGTCAATATAAGGCCAAATAGATCCCGTGTAAGCTTAAACAGCTATACATCAAATCCAAAAAAAAGAAAAATTGTCAAAAAAAAGTAAAATAAGAAACAGTCACATACCAAGATGAAACAATAAGTTAAAAACTTCCTTCGTAAAACCTCATAATCAGAACATTTTAAGCCAAATTAGGACTTCTAAAGTTTAAAAATTCCTGCATCAAACCATTTTCTCCTTTGTTTTTCAAAGAATGAGCAGCAAATAAAAGAATAGAGTTAGCAGCAAATAAGTCTAAAATAATCCTTAAAAAAATGCATAGAAATGAGCACAATATTGATAAAGTAAAACTAATGTATTAAAATATGATCATTAGTTAAGAAAATAAAAAATTACTCAAATGGTTACAATGAAGACACACATAGCATTTAAACACAAATACCTTGGTATTTTCAAAAGTTCAACCAATTCTAACACATTTTATTCACTACAAAGCAATGGAGAAGCAAGATACCAACAACTTTTTTTCTTTGAAATTGATTTCAAGATCAAAACTGTATTTCATTTCCATGGCATTAAAGTATGTGATTTATACAGTATACCTAAACTTGTTGCTTACTTCAAAACAGCAAATACTAACATGTCCCCAGAGAGGATAAAATTTTATGGGTCTTTAAAAAGCAAAAATAAAAATAAAAATAAATCTGTGGTTTTCAATTTCTGATTATAACCATGGTATAAATCTATAATCAAGAGCTTTATTTGCATTGACTTTTCTAAATCAGTATCTCTTCACCACGTGTAGTAAGCTATTTCTAATGAAACACACTGTTATCAAATGTGTACCAATTATCAAATGTGCCCCAGTTGTCATTGTTTTTTAAATTTTTACAACAAAGTAATATTTGCTCCAAAGAGGATATATTTTCGTTTTAGGAAAAAAATTCATGTGGATAATGAATATACTAACTTAAAGCACATGATTTCACTATCTTTCTCCTGCTAGAATTTGATAGGCCTCACAGAGGACAAAAAGTGCATATATAACAATATCTACTAAACTCTCAAATCCTGGTCCAAAAATTACATGCAGGAGGATTACCTGCAAAAAGTGAACAGGTAATTAAATGACAAATAGATGTTAAAAATTACTTAAATTCTTATCAGGTCAATTTGAAGAGCCAAAGTTTACATAAAGAAGATTTTAAGGAAGAAAATAGCAAAATGTTGGGTTTGTAAGATGTTTCAGTGAATGCTAATGTAGAAACTATAAGCTTATTTGAAAAGAAGAAAACCATTTGCTGATCATACTACAGCAGCTACCTACATATTTTCAATTAAGTGATTCTGCTATTATAGGTACACATGAAACCATGTTTGGAAATCCCACAAGCTATAAGGACAAAACCCTCCTTTTGTTTACTTTGGATACTAATTAGAGATACAGATAATATGGATACGACTTATTTATAAAAGAGAAAAAATAATTTTTCTCTCCTTCACATGAATAACTGCATGTTAAATGAACGCTTTTACCTTTCAATGTAAAATCTGTTTACACATACAATAAGGCATGATAAATCCATAGTTAAAATAAAACACCAAAATGTATTTCTGGTTTTTTATCACTAAAAGTTTATTCTGAAAAGGTTCTGGACATTTGAAAAATAAAGGACTAGAATCATTCCCATACCCTACCAGTGTATTTTGGGAAAATCAAATTTTCTGTAAAGAAACTTATGAACATATTTGTACAGTTATTGTGATCTAATATGAACCAAAAGCAGATAATGAATAGCACTAGGAAGAACACAGGGATATTTTAGTTCTAACACCCTCCTGTCTCCCTAGCCCTTACCTCCCTGCACATTCCAAATAATCTTTTGTAATTCACTGTCTCCGCCCACCCCATTTACTTTATGCCACTCCTAGTTACTGTCACACTAGGAAGAAGTCTAACATGCAGATTTAGAGTGGCATGGATAAATGGCAAAAAAATGCCTAGAAAATTGGTCTGTTCGCCTTTATAATTTTGGTTGAAAAATACTCCATCGCTCCCAACTGATGAAAACAGGAAGCTCTATTCATAAATATAAAATTCACTGCCTATGATATATAATCATCCTAATAAGAAAATGAGTTCTATACATACTTGTCCAAAGGGGCAAAAAAGGAGATAGTTTCCCAAAGATGTTTCCAATTTTCTTCTGAATCAGAATTAGCAAATCGAGACGACTAACATACTCTGTCTGTGGGCATTATTCCTTACTACACACAGCATTTTGTAATTTATTTCAAAGCTTCCATTAGAAACAAAAAAATACATAGCTTCTGTTAACCCACTCTATTCTAAGCTCATAGAATCAAATACTGAACAATCTACATTATAACATAAGCATTTTACTTTATAGAAGATCTGCTATCAGAAACTCTATTAATGTCTAAACTACTTAAAGAACTATATAAACTGAATACACTTCAATGAAAGACAAAAAATATTACAATCATAAAGAAAACTAAGATTCATCCAATAAACTATATTACAATCCCTGTCATTCATTTTTTTAAGATCTTCAAACTAGGCATGAGATAATGGTATACATGAAACATTACATTTAATCTTTATTGTAAAGGCCGCCATCTAATAGATTGATAATAAACTAGACAGACGTGATTTAAAATTTGTAAAAGAATGCCCAGACTAACACTTTCATGACAGCCAATTATAGTCAAGCCTAGCAAGCAGTTTGCAACCAGACCTTAAGGTAAACTTTTTTTTTTTTTACAATGAGTTACAGATTCACAAGTTTAAGAAGACAAGAAAAAGGAAAACAGAAGGAATCCAGCCACCCAGCAAATATGAAGCAGACCCCAGAATGTGATACAGTCCAAAGATGTGAATTATTGTATATCATCACTGTTGTTCAGAATTTCACACAGACTCTTGAGCCAATTTTGTTCATTTTTCCACAGACACAATAATGAACTAAAAAGAGGAGGCAAAAAGGCAGAGGTTGAGCGGGGAGTAGAAAGGAAAGCCCTTAACTGCAGAGCTCTGCTCTACAAATGCTTAACCTTACAGGAGTTTGGGCTCCTTCAGCATTTGTATTCTATCCAAATCCTCATGAGTCACAAAAATTAAAAAGCTATATCCTTCTGGATGCCAGGAAAGGCCTTACCACAAGCCTTTTGTGAGAGAAAGAGAGAGAGAGAAAGAGCAAGGGGGAAAAGCCACAGTGGTAGGCAGTCCCACTTTACTTAAGAGTACTGTGAGGTCACAAACCACATGATTCTGCCTCTCCAGTAATAGTGCTTGCAAAAAAAAGGAGTTTTAAAGCTTTTGCTTTTTTGGATTGTGTGAATGCTTCATTCGCCTCACAAACAACCACAGAACCACAAGTGCGGTGCAAACTTTCTCCAGGAGGACAGCAAGAAGTCTCTGGTTTTTAAATGGTTAATCTCCGCAGGTCACTACCAGCCACCGAGACCAACAGAGTCAGTGAGTGCTCTCTAACCACAGTCTATGCAGTAATAGTAGGTCCTTCAAATATTTGCTCATTCTCTTTTTGTTTTGTTTCTTTGCTTTTCACATGTTACCAGCTACATAATTTCTTGACAGAAAAAAATAAATATAAAGTCTATGTACTCCAGGCATACTGTAAAACTAAAACAAGGTTTGGGTATGGTTTGTATTTTCAGTTTAAGGCTGCAAGCAGTATTTACAACAGAGGGTACAAGTTCTATCTGAAAAAAAAAGGAGGGACTATGGCATCAAACAGCCTCTTCAGCACAGTGACACCATGTCAGCAAAACTTCTTTTGGGGTAAGTGTTACCATTTTTAAAATCCTGTAAGATATGAACCTGTTAAACATAAAGGTATGATTCTTTGATAAACTGCTAGCTTTTCCAAATAGCATATTAAAGATCCTAATTATGCTATCTTGTTGCATTAAGAATTGAAAAATGAAATTTCTGTATATATTTGCATTTGGTATCTGTAATGTATCTAATTTTCAAAGTAATGACTTGAAATATACAAAATTAAATTATCTCACATTGATCAAAATGTTTTCTAGAGTTATAGAGGTGAGGATATGAAAACAGTAAAAGAAACAGTTTAATACTCTCATTAACCCTCACCAGAAGAAAAGTCAGATCCTAAATTAATCAAAGCATTATAAATTATTGACTCCGGCAGCTCCCAATATTTGAGCAAACTTCAAAAAGGAAGCAATTTTACAAAATAACAGACCACAGAATTATCTCAACATTATGGTCTACCATGTATAACACAGAAATAAACCTGTAGTACAGTTAACATTTTAACCAGCTCAACTAAAAGAAATCTACTTATAAATTCAAACTGTATCCTATCTAAATAAGTTTGTTTCTAAACAACTTTATATAAGTATACATTCAGCTGAAATAAAATTATGATAAGCACATCACAGCCATTTTTAAAAGATCTTTATAGTTGCCCAGGATATTAAAAAGTTCATGGAAGTATTTTAAAACTTACATGCAACTGCATTTTTCTATGTAATTTTAATTTTACATCTACACACTGTTATCCATAGACCTTGTTATAAACACACTGAAACACTGAAACGTCTAAGATTCTTTTAATCACATTCTTGGACCTACCAAAATGAATAACTGCTGTTTAGTCTCATGAAAAATAAAGCTCCATAAGGATACCCTGTATGATTTTTAAAAGCCACAACTATTAAACCATGCTGGACTTTAAAAGAAGTAGGCATAATCTTGTCCCTTAATATTTAATTTCAAGTTACTGTTGATACAGATATGTAAATGACTTTAACATTCATCAGCTGATGTGTTATTATAGCAAAATATCTAAACACACTTACAAGATTCTCTTTATGATCTCCAACATGTTCCAACTACAAGGCAAGTTTTCAAAAATTTTTCTTATATCCATTAAAATAAACCTTCTTGCTGTGTACATCTATATTAACTCTGCTTTTAACTTACAACTAATGACTGGAGTTTCCTTTACTCCTCCTACTTCACACATTTTAACTGGATACTACTAGAGGATCAGTCTCAGTTTAGGTCAAACAGAAATAATTAAACCTGAAGGGAGAAAAAATGGTTTCTCTTACAGGGTGAGGAAATGTACTTTGTATTTTACAAAAAAAAATGTAAAATTGCTTTAGTGACTCCCTCAATAGCTGTAAGTGGGCCCCCTCAGTTATAATATATACAATATAATAATCACAGATTAATTTAAAATTTTAATGATGGGTACCAAGTATTACTCTAAAAACTTCTATATTAAGGAAGCAGGACATAAACACAGCTAGACTACATTACAACACATAGCATAATTACAGCTTATACATCGAAAGTTTTGTTACTACTACCCAAGAGATAAAAGGAAAAAGAATAGTTAAAACTACTGTTACACAGAGGGATAACTTGAAACAGGGATAACAGAGATATCAGGGAGGGATAACAGAGGCAGTTAAGTTACTCTTTCACGTTATCACTCTGTTTAACTATTTATTTTAAACACATTTTAAAAACCAGATCAGGAACAACACAAGTTTCAAAAAATTCTTCAGTATTAGAAGTAAAGTTATCATGAAGAATATGTTAAAATTCTCACAAAGAATATATTAAACTGCTTCTTATTCTATCATAACAGGGATCTTATACTTCTGTAACATTCTTAATAACTATTCAAAATTTCCAAAACTTGACAGGATTCTAAGCAAGGCATGGTAGTGAACCTTTTTTTTTTCCAACATTACAACCAGTTCTTCCTCTTTTGAAAAGTGGGCTGCACCTTCCCTCCCCGCCAGCCCCCAAACAGTATCTTGAAGCCTGAATAGAGAACTTAACATCAACCCACTACCTCAGACTAATTACAGGTGAGTAGTGGACATCATGTATATGTTATCACATTGCAAACATTTCCCCATTCTATAATCTATGCAAAGCCTAAAACCTCACTTCAGGCTTTAGATTTTTATATAATGATTATCACCACCACCTAATGAAATGTCTTAAGTATGTGCCCCAATTTTGTAAAATAGTTAAAAAGAAAGTTTAGGATTTTCCTAGGTGAGGTACAAAGCACACATTAACAACTGCTTCACCTCAAATACAATGAGTGGTGTGTGTGTGTGTGTGTGTGTGCGCGCGCGCGCGCACATGCTAGAGAAAGAGTATGTCTGTGTCCTTGATCTCTCAGCATACTTCACTTTGAGTTAATCAAAAATTTTCAATCTGTACTACTCAAAATCTGTCCATCATTTATCATAAATATAGCTTGCTGAAAATCACAGATGTGACTCATAGAGTATCTTAAAATTAATGACTCATGAAAATATATCAGCTGACTGATTATCTACATAAAATCTTTGTAACTGCTTGAACATGATGTGTGAACACTGATTTCCAAAACAGCAATTGTGGTCCATATCAATAATATATTTATAGTTTCAAGATTCAGTAGTGACAAAGTTTTATAGCTTCTTTTTAAAATACAGAGCTAAATTCCAAAACTAGGGAGCAGAATTACAAAGTTAAGAACAAACACAGAAAATCACTCTAACACATATCAAAAGCTAAAAATGTCAAAGTAATTCCCAAAGACTCATATAAATTATTTTAAATTATAATAATCCTAATTTTACATTACAAACTGTTAAAGATTTTTAGTTTTTATTTTTAAAAAATGTTTTGAAATCTAAAACACTGAAAAGAAATTGTGGAAAAAGATCTGGCTGGTCTGTCTGACTCTCCTGATCAATCCGTCTCTATATCACAAGGCATGAAATATACATGATTACATTATGATATATTTTAGTTATCTTAAAAGAACAAAATATTAATTTATTCAATTACTCTCTTCCAGCTAACAACTGATAGTTTGACTTGTTTAAATCAGTCATGCTAAAGTTAAATTCGGTAAGATAGAAATGTTCCAGTTTGTTAAAAGAACACTGAAATATTTGATGGTTAAATAAACTGCAGGGGCGGGGGGAGCTAACTCATTGAAGGCACTAAGATTTTATCAAACACACAGAATTAATATTTATTGAATAGAACCATTCACAAATCAAAACTCACTGTACTCCAATACTTTAAAGCAGCGCTAATCAATTACAAACCTTTTCTAGTGCTTCAAAATTCATGTGCTTTCAATTTTACACACTGGTGGTCCTCAAGTACTGTACTGAGGCTGAGTTAAGACATTCTGTATCACAACTTTTTTTTTCAACAAATATTCATCTAGAGGGCTTTCCCCCTCCCCCCGATTCAAGAGCTGCTCACATGAAAACTGTGGTAATATTTTTATACTGTACTTCTTTGTTGAAGCAAAAGGTTAGGGGTTACCTAAATACCTCAACTGTATATATATATTTAAAAAAAAGGAAAAGGTAAGTATTCATAGAAAAAAATCCAATGGGACTATATTATTTATTTTTGCATTTCTCATGATTAATGATGCACCCGTGCATACTTGAAAATTGACGGCAAAACAGGGTAACATCTCAAATCCCTCTCCAAAGCATACAAATACCAATCTTCCATACTGTTCTAACCTTTGTTCTAGGATACTAAGATATGACAACTCTAAGTCAATAGTGAAGTCATGCAAAAGCTCATTAAATGCATTAAAACTGCAAATACTATTACCTAACAAAAATCTTTAGACATTTTATATGAAGGATTCACCGAAACAGTCTACCTCTATAGCATCTATTAAAAATATATAAAAACATGTGACCAAATAGACAAATGCCATCAACTCAATGTGAAAAAAATCCTTCCTGCAAATACTAAAATTGTAATTATGGCAAAGCATAACTATTTTTTCTAGTCACTCACAAGTCAGACATTACTAATCAGGTGCTAGCAGATCCAATGGTAATTTAAGCAGAGACTTCTCAATACGTTACCTTAATGTACTATTTTTTCTCCTATACCAATGAACGCTGCAACTTCCACTGAAGATAGATAAAATTCTGCCTCTCCTCACCCCCCAAAAAATCATAAAACTCCCATAATAAAGATAACAATGAACTCCAATACTTGGTATTTTCTAAATAATAAAATATTCTAAGCTAACTGTCTAAAGCATGTGAAAATTCTTCATCAAATCTGAGATGTTAGTATCTTAAAACAAATCTTTAAAAGAAGTCTCACATAATGAAATTTTATGCCTTAATATAATCTCTTGCCATTTCAAAAAGATTATGAAATTCACTGGATATATTTTTTGATTAATGTGTTACGATTCAAAAAATAACAGGGAAATTCTATACCTTATTAAAAGGGAGTTTCCTTACATTTTTAACCACAGTCAACCACAAGCTTTTGTCCATTCAACAGCACATACACATGAAACAGACCATACATTCCCATACAACTGTTTTAAGACCTGTATAGCAATTCAGATTAAATGCTCTTTTACTGTATACAGTATCTTCACTTTATGTAGAATTCTTAGGAATTTCCTCCCCTTTATACTATTTATTAAGGGCATAGGACTCAAGATTTGGAACAGTGTTGAGTGGATGTAAGCAACATGTTATCAAACACTTTAGGTTTTGTTGTTACTGCTGAATAGAAAGAAGCCTAACTAAAGCAAAGTTTTTCATAAACACTAATAAACAGAAACTGCATCATTTAACATGATATAAAAAACAATCATTTTTTATATCATTTAACCTGATATAAAAAACAATCCCCAAATAAGATGAGCTGTAGAATTAAAACAGGCCTTTAAAGGCTAGTTGCTACATAAGTACTTAATACATGAAGAGAAAAAAATTGTTATTCATGCACTTCCTCTACTCTATATTCTTGTTAATACTCATAAATCCAATATACACCCAAGGAACAAAAATCATACCAAGGGTGACTTGAGCTCTAAATAAAAGATAAATGTTTACCTTGATTAGATGATTTTCATCTTTTAAATCAACTGCCCACAAAACAAGGAAATCTCTGACATATATACATACGCAATTTCGATAATGTTTGAGATATTTAAAAATTATCATACTGATGTTAGAAAATTTACCAAGTTAACATTATTCCCAGAAATATATCTAAGATTATTTTGGCAAACAGTTTAAAGACTCTTTTATCTCTACTATTCCTATTGCCAATTCTCTTAATTATACATTAGTTACATCAGATTAGTGACATTTCTAAAAAGGTATATCTAAATATCCTATGTAAGGCAAATAATTTTCACCACAAAGTCAAATAAGGTAATTTTATTTTACATTTCAGTTACATCGATTTTTTACATCAATGATGTCTACCAGAATCATTATATACCATCAACTATAAACATATATTTACATAATAGACTAAGTTAAAACTCAAGAACTTAAATACACATTTGTAGGTTCCCCTAAATTACATGAACCATACCATTATTTACATATTCCTTATAGTCATGTATCTTACACCTACATCTATTTTGTGCTTCAGGAAAAGCAAAAAAAAAAAAAAAAAAAAGACAAAGTTAAATGCTAGCCAAATCACAATAACAATCATCAATAAGGTTTGAATACATATATATGCAGTCTTTCTTTAGAAATATCAGAATAATAACGTGATATTCCACAGAACTTCACATGAACACGATGTATTTTTACACCGAAACAAAATACGTGTCATATATGTTCAACTTAAATTTCTTCTGGCTATGTTTGTCTTAACATTTTTATACATGGCATATACACATGCATGAGTGTGAATGCATTCACACCAATGACTACAGAACTTGTAATAATGATTATAAACCAGGAAAAAAATTGTAAATTATGTAACTGAGGTACTATAGTTCTGTCATGAAATATAATCAAAATTTTTTTGCATGTAAGTTAACAAATGTCAATCTATAAAACCAGTAACAGGGATTAGGCATCTACTAGGAATTTCAAGACTAAAATAATCAATCTTATAAAATCCAAAGATGTTATTTTCCAGTTATAAACTTAAGTAACAATAATTAAAAACTGATATCAGTTAAACAAAGTATTAGAGTTTATAAGGGCAAATATGAATGGAATTAATTTGCTAATAGATTCCTATTTATAAATATTATCTCAAAGAACAACTCTGGCTTGAAGCTAAACAGGTATATTTTCTCATTGACCATGTAACCTGGGTAAACAATTTAAGCATTGAATTTCTAATTTTTCTATGATAATTGCTAGAATTAACTTTCTTTTTAAATTTCTGTACTGAACTTCCCAGTTTAAGACTTCAAATTCCCAATATAATTTTAAGTGAAAAGATATAATTTTACTAAATGATTACAAATTATTTAAATGTATCTAAACAATGTGAATTTACTTTGAAGCTTAAAAGAAAGGATCATGACATTTATTTTACTATGTAATATGGTATTACATTTTACAACATGTCAACCTACTGCTGTATCACTATAACGATCCTAGAAAATCCATGTGTATCAAAAAGGTACACAGTATGGATTCTCTTCAATCAATTACAATTTTATTATAAGATACTTTAATGCAAACACAGCTCATTAAAATACATTTTTTTAGATAAAAGTAAATTCTCATTTTATTTCATAAACTGTCAGATTACAGATATCTGTAACAACTGTACAGGATCACAGAAAGGAAACTTCTTTATGCTAACAATCCACATTATATCAATCACTGTGTTTTCCATAAAGCTGATACCTGTGAAAGTACATAAGCATTTCATACTAAGAACCTAACACCCAATTCAAAAATATTAAGACACCATGAAGTAATCTATGAGAAAACTCCCATCAAGACAACAGCATCTTAACATTAGGCAGGATAAATGGTTACAAAAGATAATCTAATAAGATTAATTTTTTTACCTCTCATGAAATCTGTAAAGCATTTCGGTAATTCAGCTTTTGACAAAATGCAGAAAAACTTGCTACTGCTCTTATAAGAGTCAATGCAAAAATGAAATATTTAAGAAGATAATGCCTATGGAGATACTACTTACAAAGACAATGTGCTACAGTGTATTTCTAAAGAAATGGAAATATACAAGTCAATGTACTCCAACTTTTGATCATTAATCCAACCTCCTTTCCACAGAAGAAACTCCTTTTCACATATTATAAACTCCAGTGTCCACCCAGAATTCTTCTATTCTCCCAGTTTTCAAAACCAAACACATATACATTATTTCTCTCTCTGTAATTTAGAAGGAAAACTTAACATTTTAAAAACTTTTTACCACTAGTAACCACTTCATTTTAAAAGTGTTAGCTAGATAAGGACAATGAGTACTGTCACGAAAGCTTTATTCTTGATTATGTAGTAAAGATTTAACAATATCCCTCCCTTATAACACGCATAAGCATATTGCAGAATATTTTTGTACACCAATAGGACTAGAGAAAACACATAAAGTGATCTGTTTTTAACATTATCACTCACAAGTACCCAGGAAGAAAATTTAGAGCCATGTGCTGATTATTAGGCTTATTTTTATTTTCATAAATATTCTGGTCCTATCAAGACACAAGACACACTAAAATCAGAATCTATCAAGATACACTTAAATATTTTTTAAAACATCAAAATACTTGGCTTAAATTGCTAAATTATTTAATTATTAAATGGTTAAACCACTCTATATATGTACAATAAATTTTTACTCAGACGTATTCAAACAATTTTCTTGACTATAAAATTAAATCCTGTGCTCCAAGAAATACTGTAACACAGTATTTTTAATAAAGTATTTACTTACAAAGTAAATACATATTAGATGTACAAAAAGATAGGAAGTGATTTTCTATAATATAACTTCATTAATAATACATGTAACTCAAATTTTCTACCTCTGTTTTAAACTTTCTTCATTCAAATACATGGTCAATTCACTTAATTTTTTTGATCCAGAAACATCTTAAATGCTGTTTTAAAGGAAACTTTAATAAAAATGGCCTTACTCATTATTATAAACTGGCATAAAAATATTTTTTGAAACTTGCTGTGAAAACAGTGTGATCTGAAAACTTACATACTTAAAACTTATGACATGAACACAAAAAATGCAAGCAAATGCATAAAACTACATAGCAACAATAATATAGTGAGAAGCCAACCCCGAACATAGGAGATATACATATGCTTTCTAAAATAAAAGCTCAAATTAAAGCTTGCCTTTTGAACTGCCCATATGAACAGAACAACATGCCAATGACTTACAGAATTTTTTTCTAAACTGGCAAGACTAAAAAGAATCACATCCAATCCCTATTTTGCAATTATAATGTGTGATACTTTCTTTAACCATAAGACTGTCATTTATTCTAAATTTGCTGGAAAAGCTTGCCATTGCATTTTTCCTGTACGTACCTCTTCCTTATCAATTATGGTGTATCTCCAGCATTCGAAGAAAAAAAAGCTCCAAAACTTTAACTGCATTTAAAATATATAATTAAATCAATATATACAAGGGTTACTCTAAAAATACTCATTTCTAGAAGGCCAGAAAATCTTATTTTTTTAAGCTGATGCATCTACACATAGAAAGCAACTTTTAGTAAGTTCTTTTGCTACGCCATAATGATCTGCTCCAGAAACTCAAGGGTACCTAAAACAACGGACTACCTGTTCTAGCCATGCTTAGGAATGTGTCCAAATCATTTTTATTGATTTAACCTTTATAGGAATGCTACATATCCTCAGAGCAAAACATTTTGAATGTATTTATAATATGATACACTTCTAGAAGCCATGAAAAAGAAAGCTAAAAACAAATCTAAGACGCCCCTCCACTGTTGGTTGTTATGTTTATTTTTGTTTATTTGAAACAAATATTAAATACATATTAAATAATTCTTTTTGCGAAAACTCACTTTGGTACTACTGTAAGTAGAAATAAGATTTTATTTTTTTAGAGAAAAAGTATATTTAAGTAAATTCTAACTTTAAGAAACAAAACTCCTGACTTGACAATGATGTTATCACCTATAAATTTTAAAGGATTCTAAATGCTTCTTTCATACTCTAATTACACATTAATCATGGAACCTATAAACAAATCAAACTTAAACTTACAGAATTTAGTCTTTATTGAATAAACTTAAGTTGTACTCTAGTTTTCATCCTCAGAGTTTACAGATAAAGTTCTGTGTAGCCTATCTTTCTAGCTTTCTGTAAGTTGTACTTTACAAATGGTTTCAACAGCTAATGCCTGTATTAGGTATGTTTGCCAAATAATTCACAATATTATGCTTCCTCACATTATGGTTCAGCATTTGCTAACTTAAACATCACCTCTAAAGAAGTTATACTTTCACTGCAGATTGTTCTCTCAAAAAAGGCAAACAACTTTTGAGCATTTCCAGATGTAGCTCTCATAAAAAAAAAAAATTATAGGCAACTTCTCAAGAAATTCTAAAATCAGTAATAAAAATACAATAAAACTGGTATCATTTCTGATTACTTCAAATGATCACATATAAGCTTATATAAAAAGCTGATGGTACTATATTTTGAATTAAGAAACTTTGACAGCTACAAGAGCACTGATTTCAGGTAGCTGCCAGTAGGTAAAACAACCAAGTGTATTTCAGTGTCAAACAAGATTCTGCTGAACTGGAATTTAGGAAGCTCTGAGGGTTACTGACCATGTGATAAAAATAATAATACTATCTTTCTCAAATAGTTAATTTATTTTTATACTGGGCAATATAAATTTGGGTTCAGCTATACTATTTCGTTTTGTCATCAATTTTTTTATAAAACATCCAAGTATGCATGAGATTATGCTAAACTAAAATAAAAATAATTTATATGCAGCCTATTTCTCTGGATGAGACAAGGGAGGCATCCAGGGCACAAAATTTAAGGAGGTACTCACTCTTGCACAGTCCTCAAAGAGACAGCCTCCTTAAATTTTGTGCCCTAGGCACTTTGCTTGCCTCATACAAATTCTAGTCCTGAGCTGAAGACACATAAGTATAAACTATTTACACTCATGTGAGTATAAAATGACATGTAATAAGCAGGGTGACATAAAACATAGAAATAAGGTAATATAAGAAGAAAAATTAAAAATAAGAATATTTACATTAAAGAAGACATACTTGCCATAAATATCTTGCAAACTAAGATAGTTATGGCCTTATTGCTTGACTATAAGGCTAAGTAATCTTATTACTTGACTATAAGGCTTTAAGAAAAAAGGGATTGAAAGAGTATTCCATTAAAGAATTCACTAGCCTATACAAGACTTCTTATGTTACAGTGGTATCCAAATCTGGCTGATCAACAGAATTACCTGGGGAGTAAGTCTTGGGGAAGAGCAGCTTGTGGAGAGAAAGCCTTCAGAACTTTTTTAAAACAAAACTCCCTAGATAAATTAGCCAAGATTGTGAGCCAATAGATAGCCAACTTTTAATACTCCTAGAAATAAGCTAAAGACAAAATGCATATCCAAAATATATTAATTCCAAATTGTGTCCCCAATAAACATTTGTAAAGCTTGTTCACAAGAAAAAATTAGTTCCTTTCTTTCCTTCCTTTTCTTCCAATAGAGGTGATAGTCAATGGTTATGTGTTTAACCAGTAATATTAATAAGAAAAATAAAGTTGTGTTTAACAAGCTATATTAATAAGGAAAATAAGAAGTACAGAGGATTCCATAAGATGACTATAGCCAAAAACATTAATATTCTTATTTTTCTATTAGGTTCAAATAGCTATTCTAAGTACATAATCAATCTAATCCAAAACTTTATTTTAAATGTTGTTTTAAATTATTTAAAATTTATTAAAGTTTTAATTTAATTAGACAACATATTTTGAAAAATCAATGTAACTAACATAGTCTATAATTTTTATAGAGTATACCTTAATTGAAACTGTACTTTGTTAGCTTTCATTGTCGAGCGTTTACTGTACCGGGTACTATGCTAAGCCATTTATAAACATTATTTCCTTTAATTCTTACAACTCCCTTATATGAGACATGTATCATAATTATTTACAGATGAGGAAGCTGAGAATGAGGTAAAGGAACTTGCTCAAGGTTACAGAGTTGAAGAGATGGGATTCCAACCCAAGCCTTTTAACTCTTAATTACCACTTTACAGTGTTATACATGATCTAAATGAAGTTACTTCCTAGTCCTCAATCAATTTCATCTGTAAAGGTGTTAGTTCTCAGAAACATAATTATTCTAAAGTTATTAAACCAATAAAATACAAACAAGAAGATAATCCTGGAGTCTTCAAATTACCCTGCCACATATCTTTAAGAAATACTAATCTGACAGAACCAAAGAGATTAAGAAAAAATAAAAGTATATCAAGGAATAAGATTAAGGTGAGGTTTGTTAAGCCCCCTTCCCCCTCAAGACAAGGTCTCACTCTGTCACCCAGGCTAGAGTGCACTGGCATGATCACAGCTCACTGCAACTTTGACCTCCTGAGCTCAAGGGATCTTCCCGACTCAGCATCCCAGGTAGCTTGGACTACAGGCACGCACCACCACGCCCAGATAATTTTGTAATTTTTTGTAGAGACAGGTTTTTGCCATGTTGCCCAGGCTGGTCTCGAACTACTGGGCTCAAGCGATCCTCCCACCTCAGTCTCCCAAAGTGCTGAGATTATAAGCATAAGCCACCGCACCTGGCCTTTAGGTCGAGTTTGATCAGAAAAAAAAAGTTTCAAGGAATTAGATAATTCTTAATCATTATAATTAATAGTCTTAATGTCCACAATACACATATATACTCTATGTGATATAAAAATATAATTTAGGGGTAAAAAATTAAACACTTAAACACCAAGAATGTCTAATCCTCATTTATAAAATTAAAATAATCTTGTATCATAAATATGATTATAATCATAGGCTTTGGTGTCAGATCTGGAATCAAATCCTACTTCCTATATTTATCTGTAGCATTCCTTATACTATGGTCTCATAGCCCCATTTACAAAGACCTATACCCCTACACATATGCTAAGTGATCCAGACAACCTTTATTTCTAAGCTTTAACTTCTAATTATAATTTCTTAAATTCTAATTCATTTGATATTCACAAAAATCCACTAGTAAGTGTACTTTTTCCTGTGCCTACCAAAAAAATACTGCACAAGATTCTAAGAAGTAAATCCTTGACATGTACTATTCACCCCAATTTTAACCACAATTATCCACATTATTACTCAAAACAAAAAGTTCTCAAACAAGCCACAAAAGTGCTCCGCTTTTTTCTCTGGCAGAGGGTAGGAATAAAGCTATGAGATTATATTTTTCAGTCTATATGGTTTTGAGAAAAAATGCTGATTAGAAACCATAGGTTATGATATGATACATGAGATATTTTGCAAAGATAAAGCACTAAGGAAAAGAGAAAAGCTGTTTGGGGATCTATGAATCTCAACAGACTTCTCCAATCATTCTGCACCTATATTTAACTTGATAGGTAATATTTTAATGAGCAAACTAACAACTTTTAAAAGCTACATGAGGTAGGATCACACTAAAATAAATACATATGCAAGTATAAAGTCATAACTACATTTTAAAAGGAAAACACAAATTTTCATATTAGTTTTCATTAGAAACATCCACTGAAAAAGGTTAAAAGTGAGTTTGTCTCCGCAACTTCATAAAGAGTACAATGGCATAAGACTCGAGGTAACAAAAAGAAAGGAATGAAATGGCAAAATGTATACACATGAAAATAACTACGGAATAACAGATAGTTAAAAGTCCTCAGCAGTAGCAATATTATTACAAGTTCTCAGATTCTGGTACCCTATCTGGCAATGAAGGCAAGAAGTTAGAAAAAGATGTGGTTACAAATTAAAAATGACACACTAAGATAATTCATCGCTTTTAGTTTAAACCCTACAATTATTCACACTTATTTCATCAGAAGCCACTAAAAAGATGTATGAAGATAGACAAAAGGTTCTGTGTACAGCCAGAACAGTCAACCAAAACAGCAGAGAATAAATTCACAAATAACATGGTGATTTAGTAGTTATTAACCTAGCATTAAAAAAAAACGGAGACTGGACTGAAAAATATGGGCAAGTTGAAGAGATATTACAAAGAAACTAACAGAAGAATTTGGCAGCAGTTATGGAAGAGGCAAAGAATAAGGAAAATGAGACTGCCACTTAGGACAGAATGGTTGATGGTGCCAATGATCATGAGGAAAATAGGAAAGGGTTTTTATTATAAATAGAATGAGTTCTCTTTGTCACTACAGTTGTGCCTAGTGAAAAAAAAATAGAATACTAAGTTATATATAACACAATCTCAATTTTTTTTTTGAGACAGTGTGTCGCTCTGTCACCAGGCTGGAGTGCAGTGGCACAATCTCAGCTCACTGCAACCTCCGCCTCCTGGGTTCAAGCGATTCTCCTGCCTCAGCCTCCCGAGTAGCTAGGACTACAGGTGCGCACCACCACGCCCAGATAATTTTGTATTTTTAGTAGAGATGGAGTTTCAACATGTTGGCCAGGATGGTCTCGATCTTCTGACCTCGTAATCCACCCGCCTTGGCCTCCCAAAGTGCTGCGATTACACGCATAAGCCACGACACCCAGCCCTACAATCTCCATTTTTAAAAATAATATGAGAGTGCCTCTATATCAGAGGAACTCAAAACAGTCATAATATAAGGTTTACACAGTAGCAGGATTTTGGAAGCCTTTTTTTTTATTTGCCAATATTTTTCAATTAAAAACCATCAATACATAAAATTTCAAAAATTTAGTTAATAGTTTGCGTTAATGTTTTAAAAGCTTATTTTTCCTGAACCCATACAAAAAAATACATATGAAGAACAATGTTTTTAATTTTTCATGCTCAAGTTGTAAGAAACAGAACAAAGTCCTCCAATTACAAGATATTTGTAAATCGAAAAAGTATTCTCATGAAAACCATAGAATGTCATGGAAACACAAGGACAGCAGGGGTTTTGGTGTTAAGTTTAAATTCCAGTTATAGCGCCTAGTACATAACCCTGAGCAACCAACATTTAAGCTCCCTGTGTCTCAATTTCCTCATCTGTAAAAATATTACCACCTACCTTGAAAGTTTCCAGTTAAATAAAATGTAAAGTGTCTACACTGATCTGACAAAAGCATTACAATTATTAAATATAATCAACTTTCCAAACCTTAAATCATCTTAAGTCTAAACTCATACTCATAGTGTGGCTCACAAAACAGCAGAATCAGCATGACCTGAAAGCTTGTTAAAAATGCAGAATCTCAGCCGGGTGCAGTGGCTCACACCTGTAATCCCAGCACTTTGGGAGGCCGAGGCGGGCAGACCAAGAAGATCAAGACCATCCTGGCCAACATGGTGAAACCCCTTCTCTACTAAAGGTCCCTAAAGTTGTTCACTTGATCTGTTTCAGAGTTCTGATACTGAGTGAAGAGCACCTGGTAGTTTACTCTTAATTCTGAAGGACTCGAGAGACTAACAGAGATCATCTAATCTATAATAATTGCACCTCCAAAAGGCAGCTTTTCAAACCTGAATAGAATTTTCACATTCATACACCCCTCAGTTTACCCACAATGACTGATTAAGAGAGAAGGTCCTATGTACATAACTCTCTCTTGTAAAAAATGCCTTCAATAATTTGAGACATTCTGCAAATTATTAAGTTGCATAACAGTACGAACTAGCTACTAGTCTATATTTCTTCATGTTGTCAATGATGTCTCACCACAAGCTTGTGAAAAGCCTTGATGAAGTTTAAAAATGGTGTCTCTGTCCCATGTTCCTGAGACAGCTATCCAGTAGCTCTGATGTAACACAGAAGTTTGTGAGGCATGACTACTGCTGAGGAAAACCATTTGGCTCCAACTACTCACCTTCTAGGTGCTTAAAATCATGCTTTTAATAACCCATATTAGAATCTTAGCCATCAAAGACCTCCACCTGACAGGTCTACAGGCTTTCATTTTATAACCAGTTGCCCTTGATATTCTATACTAGTTGTTTACTGGTAAAATATTTTACAATCACAGGTGCCTATTCCTGTCTTTTTTCCTCTCCATGACTACTAATTGAATAAAACAGAAAATATGAGACAATTGTATATATGAAAAATTGTCAAACTAAAGAGCAATTCAAATTCCTTTTATTCGGAGAGATAAAAGTTGATATGAAGTGGATATGACAAAGAGAAAGAACATCCACTAAATACTTAGTAGTATACAAAGAGTTAGACCATGACAAAGTTCCTAGAAGTTTAGCTCCTCTGCAGGGGTTTCTTAGACTACTTGAACCAGAATTTTCAATCTTATTTCTTATACAGTTGGGAACCACTTCATTTATACTTGGCCTAAACTTCCCCTTGTCTGTATACTTATTTTTGCTCTCCACCCTTAAAACTGACTTGCCCTTAGCTATAAACAATGTACTTTGTTGCCCATTCATGCAGTGCTTTATTGTTTTCATTCTCTGATGGTTTTTTTTTTCATTCATGTCCAAATGAGCAGTGCCTTAGATTCTAAATATCCAGTGGAGAGCCCATATATGTACATTTTCCTTTGAACGTCTAGAACAGTAACATTATCAATTAAGTACTTAACTGCTTTACGATATGCACAACAAAAACTATTAAGAGGCCACAAAAAGCTATGCCTACCACAAATTTAAAACCCATTAAAAATCAGGAATGTCAAAAGCATGTTAACTTTTTAGGTAAAGTGTATAAACTAGCTCTTCATGGTTGGCTAGGAAAGCCTAGAGAAAAAAAATCCTAAATATGAAAGGTGAGTCTGCCTTTAAGACAAAAGAGAAATATACTTGGTGGACCTAAAAAAGAAGGCCACTTCAGAAGTTAAAAATGCAGTAAGCCAAGATTCAGACTATGACAAGGGAGACGGTAAAACTAATGGTACAGAATTTTTAAATCCCTGAAGTTTAAGGGACTCTTTACAAGCAGGATAGTTTAGTAGTTGCCATGGACTATGCTCTGAAGCCAAGCTTCATTCTGGTGAGTTTAGAAATCTGTTTCACCTAGCTGAATCAGAATTTAGCAAACTGATTTATGTAACAAAAAGGCTGTACATTAAAACGTTCCTCATGGGATGAAACAGAGGAGAAACTACCCACTCATCTGCGCTGCCTCACATGGATGTTTTGAGATTTAAATGAGATATTAATACAAGATGTCAGAATACTTATAAAAATCTTTGACACTTTATAAAAATATCAAAGATAAGCTATTACAATTTAGTATTATAAATAAAACTTCTGTTCACTTGATTGTTAAAGACTGTAAAATGTCATGCTCAAATGACATGTTTTCCTATTTGCTATGAGGTTGACAGTAAAACTTTTGCCCCATCTCAGCAACCAGAGGGACTTTATTATATGCATCTCTGCAGACTTTTACCTTCTAGATTAATTTTGTATCTCTATTCCTTTCAGGCTTCATCTCAATTTCCATTTTTTAATCCTTTAGTATTATAAATAATTATGATAGACTCCTCAACCAGGATACAAATGATAAACCAACGCTCAAACCTGCAGCTTAATGGCACGATCAGCTTGCTAGTCCTCTAAGATAGAAACCTTGGAATCATTTTTGGTAACTAATTCTCTAATCTCATAAATCCCCAAGACCTAACAATCTAACCTATGCAATATCACTTACACTTGCTTGCTATTCTTCATTCCCATTCCCTCTTACATGGACTACTACAATAGGTCTTTCCACAGCCAACTCATTTTACATGATGCATTATCAATTCTTCTTAATGAGTATCAATGCACACCGTACCTTTATCTTTCAAACATTTTTCAAAGGTTTCCAATTGTCTTTGAAAAAGACTTAACTCCTCAGTCTGCCAAAGCTTGCCACATTTTGATACTAATCATGTTTTATCTGTATTTTCTATGACCCAGTTTCTCTCTAGACACAGTAAGCTATTTGCTCCAAATGCCTCATCCCTGCCTCTGTGTCTTTGATCATGCTGTCTCCCGTACTTGCAATATTCCCTACCTATCCTCACTGTCACCCTACCTACAAATCTCTACAGGGCTAAATATTGCCTATCCTTGAAGAAAAATCTCAAACGACACTATTTTCACTGGCTTTCATCCTCCAAATTGAAAACTCTCTGATCCACCTCCATATTCCTATAGTAGCATATCTGTAACTCTTTTCACATACTTACCTGCATCTACCACCTGTCATTCTCTCAGTTTCTATGTGTGTAAGATTCTCACTCTACTTATGTATATATGTAAATATATATAATTCTACTAGACAGGTGATACTGAAGTTTTTAAATTGCAAAATCCATTGTTCATAGGAAATGCTATGAGAAAGCCCAATAAATAAAATAGATTTTTAAAGGAGTCTACAGGGTTGAAACGAAGAAGGGTGAGAGGGTAGCTAGAACCTCGCATGCCCTCCTGAGCAGCCCCACAGGCAACTTCATTAAGCACAGAGATACAATACAGTACACTAAACTACACACTCTCTTGGTAGCACAGATACACAAGAATTCCCTCTCTCCCACTCTTACTTTCTTTTCACATCATCTAGCCAAATGCCTGGCATATAATAGGAATTCAATAAACATTTCTTTTTTTTTTTTTTTCTTGAGATAGGGTCTCACTCTATTGCCCAGGCCAAAGTGCAGTGGTGCGATCTCGGCTCACTGCAACCTCCACCTCCTGGGTTCAAGCAATTCTCTTGCCTCTGCCTGACTAGCTGGGATTACAGGTGCAGGCCACCATGCCTGGCTAATTTTTATATTTTTTTAGTAGAGACCCAGTTTCACCATGTTGGTCAGGCTGGTCTCAAACTTGACCTCAGGTGATTCGCCCACCTTGGCCCCCCAAAGTGCTAGGATTATAGGCGTGAGCCATCGCGCCGGGCCTCAATAAACATTTCTTAAATGAATTAATGAAACATTAGGTGGAAGTGGATGGACAAATAAACAAGTGCCTAAACAAAAAGTAGGAGGACTTAGCAAAGGGACGTGGTAACAGCTAAAGAAATACTATATAAGAAAAGAAAATGCCTTAAAAATAACTTACATGGCTGAAAAGAGAGGTGGTACTTTATATAATTAAAAATTGAACACATTTTAAATAAAAATACCCCACAAATATGTGTGAGTTTACTATCAAAGAAAGAAGCTAAGACTAAAGAATTATTTACATGTATCATATTAAGATAAGTGAAATAATGGGATATCTGGCTAACATCTAAATTTAATTTATATTCAACACCTTAGAATTAAGAGATATAGTAAATTAAACTACAGTGAATAATTAAATTTCTTTAAAATGAATTCGATTTCACTGATATATATATGACTGTTAGGGAACAGTGTTCTGATTTTAAGATGTATTTCCTTCTTTCTCAAGTTACAAATGTAAAGTTCTGCAATTGTATTTAAAATCTTTTGGTGGTAGATGTACACAAAAGAAATACCTCAACATAAATCACTATGGCACATAATGAACCCAAAAGGAATATCCATGTATCATTATAGGCAAGATGTTAAGTTTGAGAAAAACAAAATCTGACCTTTAATATATTTTTTAAACTGGTTAATAAACATAAATGCAGCAAGGCTTACATTCCATATATTTTTAAATTCCCCAGCATTCTTGGGGTCTGTCTGCAAAAGCAAGGGAATATGCACATGACAGAGAAAAAAATTTTAAATAAAAGAAACATAATCCTGTGAGATTATTCCCTTTAAATAGAAGAGTGAAATCCAAATACTTTATTTTTCTACATCCAAAAAAGAACTTCACAATTCTTTTTTTTAAAAAAAAAAGACGTATATTTCATTAAAACACTGTTTGTCTATTTATCAGAGAATAATTCTGTATTCACATTGTAATTACTATTTTTAAAAAATACTACATGCCTACTGAAATAATGAAACAGAATGTCAGTATGGTTACCTGTGAATGAAAAAATTATTTCCCTCCTTGGTTCTAGAGATTCCAAAATCTCAAACAAATGCATTACTTTTACAATCAGAGAAAGTTTAAAGTTATATAAATAGGTATGTATGCATGTGTACACATGTGTGGATATGTGGATATGTGTATGTATCCCTCTAAATGGCCTGCTTATGTCTAGCTTATAGTTTTTACGTTAAAAGCAGCACCTTTCTCATTTCCATAGAAATGAGAAAAAAGGGGCATACTTACATTATTTAATAATTAAGAAAATAAGTTTAAATCTAATATAACATAGCAGTTAAAAGTCTGACTCTGGAGTCAGAAAGACCAAATCTAATCCCAGTTCTACCACTGAATAGCTGGATGACTCTGGAAAGCTATTTAATTTCTATTAAAGAAATTCTAAATTCTAAAAAAAAATTCTCTACCATTAGTTTTATCGTCTCCTCATTTTCTTAATCTAAAATTTGGCAATAGCCAGGCACGGTGGCTCACGCCTGTAATCCCAGCACTTTGGGAGGCCGAGGTAGAAGGCTCACTTGAGGTCTAGAGTTCCAGACCAGACTGACCAACACAGTGAAACCCCGTCTCTACTAAAAATACAAAAAAAAAAAAGTTATCCAGGTATGGTGGCGCATGCCTGTAGTCCCAGCTACTCAGGAGACTGAGGCAGGAGAATCACTTGAATCCGGGAGGTGGAGGTTGCAGTGAGCCAAGATCCCACCACTGCACTCCAGCCTGGGTGACAAAGTAAAACTCCAACTCAAAAAAAAAAAAAAAAAATTGGCAATAATATCATTCAACTAACAAGGCATTAAATGAAATAATATATAGGAAGATGTTAGTGCACATTACCTATTTAGTGATGGAAGTGATATTTCCTCTTCCCACAACTCTGTGTAACCAAAATTCCTATCGATCCTTCATGTTTCAGCTTAAATGAACTCTCTTTGAGAGGCTTTAGTTCCCCCATTACACTATCTCATAGTATCCTGTACATTTTCCTTCAGAGTCCTTATCACAATTTATAATTATTTATTTCCACAAATGTATACACAGTTCATGGCACACCACATGTACTTAGTAAATGTTGAATAAATGAATTTATGAGTGGAAAGAGGTTTATAATCTTTCCACTGGTATCATTAAATTCTGTCATTACGTAAATCAGTGGGATCCTGATTATAAATGTTACTGCCTATAATACAAATGGGGTATTTAAATTTCAATTTAGTTCTTCTAGGGACAACTACACTAGAGGGGGAAAAAAGAATATCGCTAGTATTTCAGTCTACTTCTACATATTTAAAGTCACAATTATGGAATCACAATAATTCTCTATATTTTGTCCCACAATCTTCCATTTAATGAGTCCACTAAAATAAGGATTAAGAAAAATGTGGGTTCTTTCTTGGCTTTCAGTTTACCTGCTGAGTTTTCTTTAAGTCACCATCTGCTACGGCTATGATTAAATTAGCTACTTATTGATAAATCGGGGCACTACAAGATGACATTATATAAAAGCACTAGTTTTCCAAGTATGGTCTCTGGATCACCAACATCAACATCACCTGGGAATTTATTTGAAAGGCAAATTGCTGAGTTCACCCTTGATTTATTCAATCAGAAAGGCTGGAGGTGAGACCCAGCAGTTTAATGGTTCAGCAAGGCTCTCAGGTGATTCTAATGCACACTAAGGTTTGGGAACCATTGCACTGGAAGATTCATTTTTTTAAGTCATAGGTTGTTTCACTGGTTTTCATCAATTTGCTGCTCTTTATATTTCATCATTAAAATTATATTATTTCAATATAGTCTCTAAAATACTCTGAAGTCTGACAAACAGGTCATCTGTCAGAATATAAGAAAGGCAACCAAACAATGATTGCTTAACATACAATTCCATCCACTGCATAATCAGTTCATGTTGTCAATGTTCTCTTTTATTCAAAATTAATTCCTTTTACATCTCCTTTTAAATAAAAAGATCTTTGCTTCAGAAAAGCTAATTTCAAGTAAAATTGGGAAGTGACTCAAATAAGCAATTACTGTTTTCAAAGGTTTTATTAGTCACAGGAAAAAAAATTACTAGAGCCAAAAATATAAAGTAGTATTGCCACTATATGTAAAGATACATACAATTAAGTCTAAAGTTTTTATACACAAAACTATAAACTGCAAGAATACAGTTTACTACAAAAACAAAAGTATTTCTGAGAAATGAGAAATAAAATTGATATTTCTAATACAATTAGAATGTAGCCCTGAGATTAAGGATTTTGTGTTTGTTTTATTCACTGCTATATCTCCAGAGCCTAGAATGGTGCATAGTACACAGTAGGCACCCACTTGGTAATTGTGAATGAATAAACAAAAAACATTTGTATATAATAATCTTCTAGATTAAATGTGGTCTGCCCAACAGGTGCTAGTCTAAAAACTGTTTCAAGTACACAATAAAATACAAGGAATTTGCACCAGAATGTAAATCAATTACATTAGGTAATTTGTAATACACACCATTTAATTTCTCCTTTTATCACAAGAAAACTATTTCAACAAAGGAAGCAGGGAATTGGTTTACATTTTGGCTCAAGCTGCTTTCTCACAGAAGACCAATAATAGTCACAAACTTGCTGAGTAACACTGCTTTAGACTAAATGTTGAGAGTAGAAATGAGAGGGAAAAATAGGGGGATGAAAACTAACTTCAAAGCAAATAATAATTTCTAAAAATAATTTCTGGCTGCTAAGATGTGGTCATAATCATATTACTATGCCTTTTAAAGGAAGCTTATAAAACACATGAAAACAACAAAAAATTTTAAGGATAAGCTCTTTTTGTCAGCTAAATGCCAGGTTCTAATCAGGAAATTTAAGATATCCCAGTAGTGTCTAAATGAATGAAGTCTTTACATTTTCAGACGGATTTATAATAGCTCAGGGGTCCCCAACCCCCAGTTCCAGTTCGTGGCCTGTTGGGAACCAGGCTGCACAGCAAGAGCGAACACTACCACCTCAGCTCTACCTCGTGTCAGATCAGTAGCAGCATTAGATTCTCCGACCCTATAGTGAACTGCACACGCGAAGGATCTAAGTTCTGCGCTCCTTATGAGAATCTAATGCCTGATGATGTGAGGTGTAACAGTTGCATCCCAAAACCATACGCCCCATGTCCCCACCCCACCAACCCAGGTCTGTGGAAAAAATGCCTTCCACGAAACTGGTCCCTGCTGCCAAAATGGTTGAGGACCACTGTAATAGCTGGTCACAGAAACTAAGATACATACAAAAAAATTATGCTCTAAATTAGTGAAAACACTTCAAGTATACAACTCACTCATCACTTCAGCCACTCCCACAGAGACTGCCCTCCTACGCTATACTAACCCATCAAGATCACAACTTCCTATGCATTCTACTAAATTCAACACCTACCAGGCATACTTACGTACCAGGCACTGTAAAACATGAAATTTAAAACAATCCCCATAATCAGGGAGCTTATGGTGAGGAAGAGAGAAAAATAAAAAGATCACTGTAACATAGTAAAATGAGGACTTAAAAGAGTATTATAAGTTACCACAGCACACAGAAAGGAAACTGAGTGGAGATGTCAAAGAAGACTTCCAGGACGATGAGATTTCCAAGGTGATACTTGTATTTTCTGTTACATTTTCTGTTCCTCCAGCTCTCTTAATTACTACTTCTACTCTACCTAGTTTTATACTTCACTAAAATCTCCAATCCCTTCTCCCTCCCCATTTTTCTCCAAATTGATCAACTCCATACTTTCTATTCTATCCCTCCCAACCAGCCCAAAGTTAGTGATCAGAACCTCCAACATCTCAAATTTCAATAGCCTTCTGCCACATCTGCCCTTCAAATACCTAAATTAACCCAATTATCTTTCTTTCCCAGCCCTATGCCCAGCTGCTGAGCACTTTGAAAAAGAGTAATACAGCCTGTTAGAGGCCTTATAAATGCTGACTAAGCTCAGCTGAGTCACTGACAACTTAGGCAACAATTAGTATACTCCTAATTAGCTTTCTGTCCCTAATTCTACCGCTGACACAACAAACCTTTACCACTCTCTTCAAACTCCCCTACCTCAAATCTTTGCCATCCCAACCAGCTGTCTTGCCTGCTTCCTTAAAATGATATGAATGGTAATTAGGCATAGCTGAAAATAAATATTACCTGACCTTTTTTATAAGCAAAAGAAGTGTACTGAACTACAGCAATCTAACTAAAAATCCTAACAGTATTTCATTGAGAAAAGAGTCAGTCCCAAAGGACTTACAAATAACCTTTGATCGTCTACCTGACAATTTCAGCCTTAGAAAATACAATAAAAAATATGAACCAAGGAGTAAGCAAACCCCTCTCAAAACTGATATTATGTTTATGCACCAAAGATCAAGTAGTTTTTTTCAGAAAAGAAAGTGTATCAAGTTTTCCTAGTTTATGAACTCTTATTATAGATACAAATCTAATAAATTTGATTACTATACTGTTGTAGACTGGAAGCAACATTCAAAAGGAAAGAAGGTGAAACATTGCTGGAGTCTGGTATGACAGCAACAAAATTACCAGCCAAGGGGAGAGAAAACAAAAACTATAAAAATAAATCTATAAATTCAAACAAAATTACAGATTGGGACTATTTATCCTAGGAACAAAGTACATTTTATGCTTCTATGATTCACTAGGACATCACTGTATTACAAGTAGAGTACTATGGAGCAACTGTACCTAGTATTCTGTTTATAAGTAGTCATGAATATTCATAATCTACTGTAGAAATAATTTCTTTAAAATAGAACCATTTGATCACTTAGATCATGTATTTACAAAATAAAGAATACATTAAATACCTTTATTCTTTATTACTTATATTGCATAGATATCTACATATATATAATTCTATTAGTCAGAATGCAGTTTTATATATCTATAAAAAAATTAAACTGGTCATTTATTTCCAGCTATGACTACCATTCAAAATTAAGACAATAACTGCATGATTTAAAATTGAGGGAATAGTTTGGCTGATTTTTACATACTGCAGTCACAGCACAATTCTACATTCTAGCAAGAAAAACAAATATTAAAGAAAACTGAGAAGTTCTTCAGAGTCTCTAATAGTACAGTAGTTAACCGGCCCACTCATTAGTCAGTTGTTTTTACTGTTTCTCTCCAGTGTTGTTTCAAATAAACTTTCTAAATGTAAAATGATTTCATTAATCAACTTTAAAAGTAAAATGAATTGCACAGACCAATGTCTGAAATCTGAGTACACAGCAAAAAGCAGAAAAAGAAAAGAAAAATGAAACTACTTAAAATTTGCACTTAGAATTTGTTTTGGAACTTGATAAAATGATTCCTAAAAATTCATCTGGAAAAATAAAAATAGGAAAAGAGTCAAAAATATTTTAAAAAGAAAAGTTATGCGGATGGACTTGAACTATAATACTAACTATTAAAACATATTAAGAAGCTATAATAACTAAAATAATGCAGTACTGGCAAAGGAATAGACTACTCAACGGAACAAAGCAGAAAAGTTTAAAATAATTTATTATCTGATAAAGGTAGTATTTCAATTCTGAGGAGAAATAAAGGCTTATATAATTTGAGATGGTAAGTACACTGGCAAATCAATTTGAAGAAAAATTATTCTAACTTAGAACCCTCCCTGACATCATAAAACAAAACAATGGATTAAATATTAAACCATAGAAACTAAAAATATGAAATGTAAGAAAGTGCATGAAGATATGTATCAAAATCAAGGGTAGGACATTCTGTCAAAGACAGAAGCAATAAGATATATAAGACTGATTCAACTATATGAGCAATGAAAACTCATTTTTTTTTTTAATCACTATATACAAACCTTAAGGCAACCACGAGATTTAGGTGCTGGCGGGGAAAATAGGGAAAATGCCAAATATAATCAACCAAAGGTCAGTGCCTTTAGTATATCAAAGGTCCTTAATAGGAAAAAAAAATACAGTAGAATTATACTAAGAATACAGACAAGCACAAAAGAAGAAATAAAAATGGCCAAAGTATTTTCAAGCTCAGTTGTCAAAGAAAAGCTGAAAACACAATATTTTTACTGTTAAAAATTGTCAGGGAAGATGGAGGGAGGTGCTCTCATAACTTGATAGAAATACATTAGTTCAACTTTCCTGTAGGAAAAATTAGGAAGTTAGTATCAAAAAAGTCTTTAGACTCAAAAATTCCTCTATGACTTTCAAATAGTAGGTTTCAAGATTCCATTATATCATTTTTAATAATAGTGGAAAAACTGGACAAAACCTAATTACTTAACAGCAGGGATTAAAAATAATATGATAGATATACACACAATGAAATAAAAAGATCTGATAACATAGTTGTTCACAATATAGCAGGTGAAAGGAAAAAAGGACAGTTGCCAAAAAAGCACAGTAATGACTAAAAATTACTAAGAACATAAAAATTAAGTCACACACAAATGTACACACCCCAAAGTGTATGCCTCGCTTGGAAAGGAATCATAGATGCTTTTATGATCTTCTTTTTTGCTCATCTGTGTGAGGATCTCATTACTTCTACTGCCGCTGCTAACTCATTCAGGGATTGTCTCAGTTTCCTTGGATAATAAGGGGCTTCACTGCATTTAAGGCTTCCTGATTTATTCAAACAGTAACTACACAAATGCACGCACACATACACACACACACACACACACACAGTCTCCTATATGTTGCTATGCAGAGATCTCTAGACACATTTAAAAAAAGAAAAAAAAAGTTTTAGGCCAGGTGTGGTGGGTCACCCCTGTATTCCCAGTACTTTGGGAGGCTGAGGCAGGAGGATCGCTTGAGGCTAGGGTTTATAGTGCAGCTTATAAAGATAATGCTGTGTATTTATCAACATGGAAAAGTCCTGTGATATATATTAAGTAAAAACCCAAGTTACACAGTAGTAATTATAATATGGGCTTTTGGTATTTTTTAATTTTTTGTATGCATTGGAAAGAAACTGGAAAGATAAATACCAAAGCCTTAATAGCACTTTGAGGTTTTTTTTGGAGACAGGGTCTCACTCTGTCACCCAGGCTAAAGTGCAGTGGTACGATCACAGGTCACTGCAGACTCAACCACTTGGGCTTAAGCAATCCTTCCACCTCAGCCTCCCAAGCATCAGGAGCCACAGGAGCATGCCAAAAGACCTGGCTTTTTTTTTTTTTTTTAGAGATGGGGTACCACAGACTGGTCTTAAACTCCTGGGCTCAAGCAATCCTCCTGCCTCAGCCTCCCAAAGTACTGGGATTACAGGCATGAGCCACCATGCCCAGCTCCAATAAGCACTTTAATTTAATTTAATTTAATAATTAAGGTGTTAATTATGAACTTTCTGTATTTTCTAATTTTTTCCTTTTCAGAAAATAATATAAACTGTCTCTATGAGGAAGTATAAAAAATACTTCATTTATTATAGAATAAAATGTTGATATAACAGTTCCCCTACCCATAAAATTTCCAGGGTTTTTCATTGGGGGTGGGGGTTAATTGTTCCTAAAATATAAAATCCACCAATACAGAAAGAAGTGAACCAAGATCTTGCAGCTCCAAACCTAGTCTTCTCCACTGTATCATGCTACCTTAATCACTCAGATGTAGCATTATTTTTCTTTGTATCAATTTGCCTTTTGAAATATTTATATTTAATTACAAATTCCAGATAAGTGAAGTTTTATTTCTATTAAAAATAAACATTAACTATGTTCACATACTTCTAAAGGATTAGAGATATATAAAAGACATTAATATGCACAAATTCTAAATTGGAAGAGGCAGAATAAAAAATACTATCAGTGCTTGACTTAGAAATGGGTTGTATTCCAAGTCTGAATGTTTGGAAAGTAATTCCAACCAAAAAGAATGTTATTTTTGTTGAATAAATAAATATTAATTGATTGCCAGGCCAACCCCAAAAATTTAATTTCCCCCCCTTTCCCTATTAAACACACATTACTAACCAGTGTAATACAGGAATAGAGAGAAAGCCATGAAAGGCTAATAGAACTCTACTAGCCATGGCAAAAACTGGTTGTAACGTAGTTGTTTTAAGACACAGAAACCTATGAAAGGTAAGAAGAAAGCAGTCAAAGATAATAGATTCTCACTCCTCTTCTCTAGAAAAGTGGTTGTGTACTCTATTCTGTCATAGGAAAAAAATGTTATGCCAATTAGAAAACTTTCTAATGACTACAACAACATTTTTTTCAAAGGCATATGGTATTTCACAGCTAAGGTTTTTTTTAAAATCTACATAGGTGTCCAAAAAAGATATATTTGCAAAAGATGGCATACTCATTTGAATATATATTTTTTATATATTTTAGTATATTAAAAACACACACACATATACACACATATATGTTAATATATGTTAACATCTTAAAACACATTGGAATATATCAATTCTCATTTCTTTTTTTTTCTTTTTTTGAGACAGAGTCTCACTCTGTCACCCAGGCTGGAGTGCAGTGGCGCAATCTCAGCTCACTGCAACCTCCACCCACCAGGATCAAGCAATTCTCCTGCCTCAGCCTCCTGAGTAGCTGGGATTAAAAGCGTGTGCCACCACGCCTGGCTAATGTTTATTTTTTTTTTAGTAGAGACAGGGTTTCACCATGGTGGCCAGGCTGGTCTCGAACTCCTGACTGACCTCAAGTGATCTGCCCACCTCAGCCTCCCAAAGTGCTGGGATTATAGGTGTGAGCCACCTCGCCTGGCCCAATTCTCATTTCTTTGGCTGTAATGTAAAAGTGTCCATCAGTCTCACATCTAGAGATAATCAAAACTGTGCTTTGGCAAACTTAACTATCATGGGACTTCAGAACCAGCAAAAAGTCAAAATCAACAAGATTTATTCCACTATATTAAGAATTTACTACTCTTTTCTAAAATTACACTCACCTTTTTTAATTTACAGAATTTACTGTAACGAGGCAAATCAATATATAATATAGGCATCAAATATTAATTTCCTATCTAAAACTACTAACCACTCTCTGATATATTTTTAGTAATGAAGAATCCATTTTTTTCTTTTCTGAGACGGAGTCTCACTCTGTCGCCCAGGCTGGAGTGCAGTGGCACGATCTCGGCTCACTGCAAGCTCCGCCTCCTGGGTTCACGCCATTCTCCAGTCTCAGCCTCCAGAGTAGCTGGGACTACAGGCACCCGCCACCAAGCCTGGCTAATTTTTTTGTATTTTTAGTAGAGACGGGGTTTCACCATGTTAGCCAGGATGGTCTCAATCTCCTGACCTTCTGACCCGCCCACCTCGGCCTCCCAAAGTGCTGGGATTATAGGCGTGAGCCACTGTGCCCGGTCAAGAATCCATTTTTATCTAGTACCTTTTTTATTTTTTATTTTTTGAGACAGTCTCACTCTGTTACCCAGGCTGGAGAACAGTGGCAGGATCATGGTTCACTGCAGCCGTAACCTCCTAGGTGCAAGTGATCCTCCTGCCTCAGCCTCCCAAGTAGCTGGGACTACAGGGCCCAGATAATTGCTTTTAATTTTATTTTCTGTAGAGACAGCGTCTCAAGTATGTTGCCCGGGCTAGTCTCAAAACTCCTGGCCTCAAGAGCTCCCCTGACGTCAGCCCCTCAAAAGTGCTGGGATTACAGACATGAGCTACCACACCTGGTCCCCCTTTTCTAAAGATTAATTTTGAAGCTGGTACATTTAAACTAACAAGTTTTCAAAATCTCACCATAATAAAAATAATGAATTGACAGAATACTACATAACATTGCTAATTTTACAGCTACCAGAAATTTTGTAAATCTAGCTACATAAAAATGAGAACCTAAAACTCACAATGACATTACATATTCAATTACACATGCTGACATAATAATGAAGTGTAATACATTCAGAGCTACAGTCATAGGATTTTTCAGAAAGACTAAGAGTATATATATATATAAATACATTCACAAAAGAACATTTTTAAGAAACTGAACACATTTCTTTATTATTCATACTTTCTAAAAAATGGAACATAAATGTAATATTAAACTTCTCAATCAAATCTGACTTGCCAAAGTAGCCAAAAATTAACATCTTCAAAGCTATAAAGAACTGTGGGACAATGACAACTTAAAAAAGAGAGACAGGAAAAAAGTAATCAATGACCGTGTTAAAATCAAATATAAAAACAGGTTATAACATGTAAAATGTATTTTTCCCATCTCAATAAAAATGTAACAGATGCAACCCAGAAAAGAAGCATTCTATAAATAATTTGTATTTACTATATTTCTTCTGTGCTGCCCAATATGGTAGCTGTTTGCTAAGTTTATGGCTAAACTTAAATAAAATCTACAATTCAGTTGCTCAGCTGCCTGGCTTATTTAATATACTCAATAGGTACACATGGCTAGTGGCTATCACACCGGATAAAAAGGAACTAAAATTTCTATCACTGTGGAAAGTTCTACAGCATGCTATAATGTAGACAAATCCTTTCTTCTCTATAATTATGAAATTCTTCCCATTAAATTGCAAATATTTCCCCCTATACTTGAATTACTTTTTATAAACTCCTTAATCAGTATGTTGATGATGATATTTATTTTTTAAAAAGATAATGGTAACAAGAGCACAATGTTTATCATCTGCCAGGAACTACACTATGTGTTTTAATTCAATCATCTCATTTAATCTTCGTACTAACCCTGTGAGGTAGATACAGGTTCACAGTCTCTTATCTGAAATATGTATTGCAGAATATAAAGTTTTCAGATTTTTGAAAGTTAATACTGTACATAAATCACATAATACTTTCAGCAGAGTCTAGAGAAGCATTCAGGAACATGGTGAAACGTATGAATATTCACTCTAAAAATAAAAAAAGACTATAAATAGCTATATATCAATTACAGCATGGATCTACCATCAAATTAGTTCAGAACAGAGACTGCCACTCTCCAGTGTGATAATCAGCAATTATACTGCAATTTTAGGCTGATGGGTCTGTGAATTTTTACCTATTTTTCCCCATATAACTAAGGATTTTCATCACAGAATTACTCAAATAACTTCATCTACCTGAATTTCAAGAATTCATTTCTGTAAGTAAGCAAGACACTTTTTTCCCTGGTAATTACACATATAATCCTAAACTGAAAGTTCTAGTTATTATCTTCTCATGAGAGAATTGATAGTAATATTTAAATAAAAAAATCAATTATTTTATGTAGCCACATTTATAAAATAACATTTTTTAACACAAGCACTTAATTTCACTGGATCTAGAAACTTAAACATTTCCTATTTCATTTCTGAAAGGAAAAAAGACTTTCCATTATGCAGTGTTTTTATGTTCTCAATCTGCTTTTATACATAATATCACTTTCAGGAAATCTGCCTTTATACATATTCTCACTTACATTACAATTTGAAAATATTCCTAATTACTATTATAGTTATAAACTAAAGTATATCTTAAAATATCCCAAACAGATGCATTTCACAAAAAGTAAATGGGTAAGTTTACCACATATTTTAGTGTAATTTAAATATCAGGAAGATCAATTATTATTTAACAGTGAAAAAACACAAAAGTAGGATAGACATTTAAATATTCAAATAATATGGCCACATTTGTATCCAAAATTATGAAATAACACAAATACAAGCATCTAATAAGTATATAGTAAGTATATAATTTCTATGAAAAAGTATACTTTCTTTTGGTTACTGATATGCCCTTGCTGAAAAAGATCTGTTGTTAGATATAGGAAACTGCAACAAATGCTATGATAATATAAAAATGACAGGCTGGGCGCAGAGGCTTATGCTTCTAATCCCAACCCTTTGGGAGGCCAAGGTGGGAGGATCACTTGAGCCCAGAAGTTCAAGACCAGCCTGGGCAACACGACAAAATCCTGCCTCTACAAAACAATACAAAAATCAGCCAGGTGTGGTGGCTCACCCCTGTAGTTCCAGCTACTTGTTGAGGCAGGAGGATCACCTGGTCCTTGTTACTAATAACCGAGCAATCAACTGAAAAAACATTTAGCTTTCACATTTTATTTCATTATAGCACAGTAGTCACACATAAACTGTTGAAAGTCATTTATAAACTAAATTTTGTAAATCAAAATAAAAAGTTTATTAACTGAAATTAGTTTAGCATAAGTGCAACAGCACGGAATCTGGAGTCAGACTTCCTGGCATTAATCCAGAATTTGCCACTGACTATAGGATAATATTTGGTGAGTTACTCAACCTTTGTGGCTCTATTCTTTCGTCTATAAAAGGGGAATAATAGCATCTACCCTCACAGAGTTGTGTGAGGATGAAATGAAATGGCATATGGAAGTACTCAAGAGAGTGCCTGGTACACAGCATGTTCTATACAAGCATTCATTATTATCACTGATATTATTAAAGCACCCTTGGAATTACAGTATGTTCGTACTTTTTACCTTCAGGGTTTTTCTTTCTCCCAGTTTCCTGAAAAACTTAAATGAACCAGGGGAACAATATTTGAAGGAAGCCTGTGTTAGCTTAAAAACCCATCTACTAAAAATTCAGAGACTATACATATCAGGGCTCTCTAAAGTCAGATGAAGGGGGCACACATTCTTTCACAGCTCATATCTTCATAATACTTAAAAAATAGTCAAATGATACCATTTCACATATAAAACAAAGCTCTAGTACACTGCAGCAATGAATAAATGGTCATTGCTATTTATCCCAAACACTCTCAGGAGAAGAAGCAAATCTTACTGAGAAAATTGTTAGTTCAGTTTTGGACATTCTAAATTTGAGGTGCTCGCAGAACACTTAACAGACATTCCAGGAAGCGGGCAGAACTACAGACCTAAACGTAGGTAGCTTATCCTCAGAAGAGTTCCTCATTCCCTCCTTTGTACTACCATGGAATTTTTCGCATCCTATTGCATTACAAATATTTGTCTCCTTCTCTACTGCTAGACTATATGCCTCTTGAAGGCATTCAGTTCCTGCCATATAATAAGGACTCAGTGAATGATTTTTAGCTGGGCACAGTGGCACATGCCTGTAGTCCAAGCTACTCAGGAGATGGGGGCAGGAGGGTCACTTGTGCCTAAGAGTTTGAAACCAGCCTGGCAACATAGAGACCCCATCTCAAAAATACAAAGGTAATTTTTTAAAATGCAAAAATTGCAGAACTGTACAATTTTTAAAATGTATTTTATTATATATAAGAAAATTCTGATTAAAATTTTTTTAATTTGTGGATGTTAGATAAGGATGAAATTTTCATTTGGAAGAATTCTTACAATATAAAAGTAACATGTAAACAAGATTTTTTCAATGTTATTGCTATTTATCCCCAAAACTCCCAATTTTTAAAAACGTGGTGACATTATAATTACTAAGCACTACTGAGCTGTGAAATCTGGCATCATTATCATCAGGCCTGTAACTCTGAAAAAGTACATGACAAGGCAAGAAATATATAAATGGGTAAAGTAAGGAAGAACTCAGAGAACTCAGTGAAGACTCTCAAAGTGCATTTAAATTAATTAAAATTCTTAAGAAGTTTGTTAAAATACCTGTAATGTCAACTGAAAAGATTTCACTTTCAAATTTACAGGCTGCTTGAGTTCAATAACCTAAAAATGAAAAACCTCTGGACCATTCCAGTACAGGTTATTCAAAGGAGCTGTGATAAAGAGCATATAGCAAATGTGCTCAGTTATATGCACTAGGTAAGGCACAACTGCTATCATCCCAACCCACTAACACTTGTTAGACTACTAATCCTTTCCTTTCAAATCTGTAAGAAGGGGCCAGGCACGGTGGGTCAAGCCTGTAATCCCAGGCACTTTGGGAGGCCAAAGCAGGTGGATCACTTGAGGTCAGGAGTTTGAGACCAGCCTGGCCAACATGGTGAAACCCCATCTCTACTAAAAATACAAAAATCAGCCTGGCGTGGTAGCGCATGCCTGTATTCCCAGCTACTTGGGAGGCTGAAGCAGGAAAATCACTTGAGGCCGGGAGGCAGAGTTTACAGTGAGCAGAGATCAGGCAACTGCACTCCAGCGCCTGGGCAACAAAGCTAGATTCCTCTCAAAAACAACAACAACAACAACAACAACACAACTTCTGTTAAGAATGCCTCACTGGTGATATTCACCACCCAAATTCAAAATATGGTAAGTTCTTCAAGGCTCTAATACTAGGACAGATTGGTTGCCAGTTCTAGATTTAATAGCAGATCATGACTATTTCATTTGTGCTTGACAACTAGACAACTTTCAGTGAAACCATTCCCCAGAAATGACACTACAATATTGTTACTTATTTAGACACCAGGGAGCCAAAAGAACAACAACTCATTAATAGTGAATGGATTGGGGAAGACAGCAGCAGAGGACTGAAAAGCAGCAATATAAACAGGCTTAGAACTATGAACAGCAGCAGTAGGGAGTCACAGAATGAAATTACTGTAACACAAAATAAACATAGCAGAATAAGTCCACACTTTCTCATTTGAAATATACATAAGCAAGAATTAAATGTATATTGAGTCTAATTTTATACAATCAAAAGCCTAAAAATCTCATAACAATAGAAATACCAGTAAATTTAAAAGGATTCTCCCAATTTTGGCCCTATTTCCCTGTTCTATAAAGAAATTCCTAAGGGCAAAAAAAATAACTTCAGACTATAAATGATGAATGTAACTATTAGGAGTGGCCTCTCTATGAGGTCTGAAATAGAAGGAAAATGTACATTTCTTCCAGAGCTGTAGCCAACAATAACTTTTGCATTCCGAATTCAGCTTAGGTACATTGGTTGGGAAGATGTTTGCAAAAGTATTTAATAAGAAAGTGCTGAATTTAGCCTTTATTTTTTCTCAGTTTTTTTAAAATGGCCCAAGGTCCATCAAATGCACTAAATAGAAGCTCTCCTAAGTATAAATAACAAAAGAATATAATACTCTACAGCTTTTAATTTAATTTTTAATTTTTGTGGGAACAGTTTGGTTTTTTTAATATTTTATTTTTAATTTTGGTAGGTACATAGGTTTTTTATTTTTATTTTTAATTTTTGTAGTCTTCTTCTTAAAGGCAACTGTCTTTTACAGATCAGAGATTATCAAACTTTTTCTGTAAAAGACCATATAGTAAATATTATCAGCTTTACAGGCCATATAGTCTCTGTCGCAAATACTCAACTCTGGCACAGAGCATGAAGGCTTCAATAGACAACAGATAGATGAATAAGCCTGGGTATGGTACAGTAAAAAATTATTTACAAAAACAGGCAGCAAGTCCATGGCCATAATTTGTTGACTTCTGCTATAGGACATCTGTTTTTAACTTTACTAACAAGTATATTGTTTTAATAAATACTATAAATTTTGAAATAAGATGTCTGGGATTTGCTTTAAAATACTTCATATTTTTTTAAAAAGGGAGAGTAGGGAGAAAGGTTAAATAAGACTGGAAAAACACAATTATTGTTAAAGCCAGATTATGGATATATAGGTTTCATTACACTGTAAGTTTGAAAATTCCCAAATTAAAAGTTTTAAAAATACAAAGTAAATCAATGAACCAGCTCTACAGAAAATGAATTTTTTCACCTTATTCTAAACCTTTTAAAACATGCTTAGTATTTTTAAACATAATTAACATAACACAACATAAAATATTCTTAATATAAAGCCACTAAACTATAATGAAAAAAATTAAACTAATCCACAAAAATGTATATAAGCATAAACACTTATAATTTTCCATAATTTAAAATATAGGCTCACTTCACGCAGTTGCTAAATATGTCAAATTTATTGGCATCTCATCTGAAAGGTGTAATCAATTTTTGGCTTTAGAATATTTTTATAAGAAATATATTATTTATATTAACATATAACAGGTTTACTACTTTTCAAGTTAATGCATAAATTTCTTTCTTTTTAAATTCTAAGTAATTCTGGCCAACATGGCGAAACCCTGTCTCTACTAAAAATACAAAAATTAGCCGGGTGTGGTGGCATACCTCTGTAATCTCAGCTACTTGGGAGGCTGAGGCAGGAAAATCGCTTCAACCTAGGAAGTGAAGGTTGCAGTGAGCCAAGATTGTGCCACTGCACTACAGCCTGGGCAACAGAGTGAGACTCTGTCTCAAAAAAAAAAAAATTTAATAATAAATTCTAACTAATAAATATTAATAGATATAACCCTCATAAACAAATATTCTTCAGGATCTTCAATGATTAAAAGTATAAAAGGATCCTAAGGCCAAAAAGTTTGAGAGCTCCTGAACTAAGTGTTTTCAATATTGTATAAAGTAAGTTGATCATGCAATTATAAGACATCTGCTCAAACTCATTTTACCTTTTAACAGTAATCATCACATAGTGACGTTAATTCAACTATGAAGGCTATCAATTTAGCCACAAGAGGAAGACACTTAAACCTTCAACAGATATATTCTTTTCAACTACCTGTTAAGTCATGAATAATGTATCCACAGGAAAAGAAGAGCACTATAATATCTTGCCCCCCACCTTATACAGACAAAATTGTCTCCTGAACCAATATAATGAAAAACTACTATGTGTCAACAGACATTTCTAATAAATATGCTACCTCTTATCAAATCAAGAGATATAGTTTCACTTAATGCAAGAAACCAGAAATCAAGATGAACAGAGCCTTAAGAAATCTTAATGACTCTGCAATTTCCCAAAGATTGAATACATGTTTTTCAAATGCTCTAAGTTTTTCCCCAATGCTCTGAAACACAGTGATTTCAAATATTATCAGAACTAAAAACTAATTTAAATTAGGCTTACTGAATTATTACAAGAGTTGAGAAAAACTAAGAACTTCCATGTGAAAACATTTCAACTGTCCAAGAATATAATCAGTCTCAAAATTTCCTAAATCTATAAACTAGAATAGAAATAAACAATACATAACACAGACTCAGGCAAATAATTAGAGCAATTGTGTCCACCTGATTATTCATTCTATCATTTATAAAGATGAACTAATACTCATTTTTCAAATACAGTACCACTGTAGCATTTTTAACCAATTTTGCCTCTACATATGGCAATTTAAAATGTTACCACAGTATTTCATTTTTACTTGATTAATAACAAATTATTTCCAAGTTAAGTTTTATAAATGTTGTTATGTCTATTGTCTTTCAACATGAATAAATTTAAAATAGTAATAGCAATAGCATGCAGGGACATACTTACATCATACTCTGTAATTCTGTTGCAAAGCTTATAGACTTCCCTGTACTCCTTCCACTACTTGAAGTTGCAGTAGACATTGGACTAGCTGCCGTATTATTCATCTAAATAAAAAGGAGAAATAAAGCTTACAAAATGTACCTAGCTATAAGTAAATGCAAAAAAAAAAGAAAGCAAATATAAATTACTTCAAAAAGTAGAGAAAATTTAAATTTCTGATTTGTTTTGCACAAAACTGATTCACTTATACTTAATGTTCTTTATTAAAATGAAATAGCAAGGTGGAAAAAAACTAGTCAAGTAAGATGTCAGCCAATTACTCACTTCAGTGATAAATACTTTAGCACCTATTTTACAATAGGTAATGTAAAAACAGTATTTATTAACATATTTTACTAGAGCTCATTGGTTTTCAAAATGTGCTTCAGGGAGCCCTACGGTTCATCAGCAATGCTTCAGGGCATTCTAGATGGACCCCAAGCACAACACACTCCCAGTTTCATTCAGGCCACGGAACAACCCTGATTTTTCTAGTTGATATATGAAGGTTCCAAGTAAGATCTCATTTAAAGAAACAATTCCACAGCTGAAAGATACAAAATTAGAAAACTACAGCATAATCTAAATCCTATTTGAACAAAAGCCTAAAATACAAATAATAATGTCAATCGGTAGATCAAAAGCATTATATTTTATAATCCTATGGGTAAATAACTTACTCAATTTTAAATGTGACATTTTTCCCAATAAAATTAAGGTGATGCATAATGATAAAGTGGGTGCCAATCCTAATGTATGACATTTTATTTAATGCATTAAAAAAATTGGCAAGATTTAGTCAAAGTAACATTAAAATAATGTCATGAAAGTAGGTAAACCCTCATCTATTACACTATTATACTGGAAGTGCTCAATAAACATTAGTTATTATTTCATATGCTTGCATAAACTTTGCAAAGCTGTAATTTTCCTCAAAATATTTTTTGCAGTTTCTAAAGAAGAATGTAAGATATTTAGAACATATGATAAAGTAAAGCAGTGCAGAGGACTTTCAGTAAACTAAGAGGGCAGGTTCTGGGGTCAGACTGCCTAGATTTGAATCCCAGCTCCGCTCCTTTGCTAAGACTTTGGGCAAGTTACCTAACTTCTCTGTGCTTCAGTTTCCTCATCTGTAAATGGCAACGATAATCTCACCTTCTTAGGGCTGTTGTGAGAATTAAATGAATACATACAAAAATTTAGAGCAGTACTGATAGCACACAGTGGATACACAATAAATGTTAGCTATTGTAATAAGCAGACCTTAAGAACTCCCTCTTCCGTTAAAGGGGAAAGTTAAAGAAGAAAAAAGAATTCCCCTCCTTTATCTGCTAAAAACTTTTATATAAATTTAGATGTATTACCCTTTTTTTCACAATCAGGCAAGTTTTTAAAACTTAAACATTTTTACTAAAAGACCTCTATGCAACTAAACAAATACTAAGTAGCTTCTTTATAAGTTGAGTTTTCACTGATGACATCACTACAACTACTAGTCACTTGGGCTCAAAGTCTCAGTCACTACCTTTGACTCCTTCTCCTGCACCCTACAATTTGTAAGAAGTCAAGTAAATTCTACTTTCTGTATGTTCTCAGACCCTTCCCCTCTTGTCCTACGGCTATGGCCTTCTAAAAACTCTTAGCTACATCTTCTATCTCCATCTCAGTTCATTCTCCATACTGCTGCCAAATTTATCTTCTTAATATATCTTTCTAATCTAACCACTCCTGTGGGTAATGATAAAATTCATAAAGGGAATCTAAACCAGGGTCACTTACCAAGGGCTGAGATGGAAGGGCTGGGCCCCACGAAAGAAGGTTGGGGAAAAAAAGCTACTACAAATCACTGATGGAGATAGGCTTTATTTGAAGCTTTTGAGAAGGCGACAGGACACAGATCTAAGGCAAGCAGCACACTAGCTAGGTGACTAGGTTTGGAATATCCCAATATCCCTCTGGTCTAGTCTGAGGGCCCTAACAGCCAGGCCAAAACCACTATACCAAGAAGGCAAGAGCACAAAAAGCGAAGGAAAACAAAAACGTTCCACTTAAACTGAGCCCGAAAACCAAAATTCTAAAACATATGAAGAACATAATGCTAAGAAAGACCATCGCTTTTTTTAAGCCTAAATTTGTGCCATTGTTTAAAAAGACTTTTGGAATAAGTACTTTTCTCTACAAATAACACAGGAAAAGAAACATAACCATTTGAGACTCGGATTAAAAAAAAAAATCACAAGTCCAAGACTGGGGGAAAACAGGAAACAAAGGACTTCCCTAAATAGTCCTGCAGAATTGGGACAAAATGCGAAAAAAAGGAGCCTGGATTTCTCAAAGACCTCAGGAAATGTTCCCTTGTCTCAATAGAAGGCTGACAGAGCTATCTTCGAGAACATGTTAAACTCAAAGAGTAAGTAGTAACCCCAGCCTCCAGAAAGTTATGATTTGAGTTGACTTGTCTGATTTGACAGACATGCCATTCCATGGGATTATCCTATGGTCAAATGTCCTGAGACACTGCTGGAGCAATCTGCTCCTTTTTCATTTTCAAATCCAGTCACCAAACCTAGTTTATTATAACCATGATCATCCTTTCACAGTCAAGTCAATTTTTATATCAAACAGGTGAATAACATTTTTCTTGACATGATGAGCTGATAGGTCATTAGACTCTTTAAAATAATTATTTCCCATACCCACATTGTTTGATTTAGATAATTAACTTCTTTTGACATTAACTTCTTTACACATCAAAGTCCTATCATTCCAATGCTCTATTTCCTTTCTTCTAGACATTAAAAAAGAAAAGTCTGTTAAAAGCAGAAGCACTCAAGTCAATTTTCACTAATAAATACAGTTACTGTGGAACTGAAAACCTACTGTAATCTTTTCAATGGGTTAATGTCCTGCAGTTGTTTCAGCTTTCAATTGAAAATGCATCTGTTTGCCATATTTTACAAAATGAATTCAGATGTGCAGATTGGGACCTAGATTATTTCAACATGCCAGAGTTTAAATGTGAACCCAAGGAATAAGTTCATATCTGATTAATAGTATTTAAACCTGATCATTAAGCTAATAGCTAATATTATAACACACCTGTAAAACTGTGTTCCAGAGAAGAAAAATTGGCATTTACCTTTCAATTTAAAATGAAGGAATTTAAGGATGCACGCCTTTCCTCAGAAAATATTGCTATCAAAAAAAAAGTTTTAATTGTAGTGAAGTTAATCACAAAAAGTGAGTTAAACAAAATGCACTGAACATGCTACTGGGTTTCTAGTTAGATCTCATATTTTGGGGGACTAAATGACCACAGAAGAAATACCATGAAACATCTTTAAGCTTAAAAGACCTCAAATTGTTGAGAACCTTATTACTAGTTTCTGCACCCTCCAAACATCATCAAAATCTGGACTGTGAAAACTATCAGTCAATCCACTAAAAGAGAGAAGTTTTAATCTTTTCTTCTATATTGCTGAAGAAAACTATTTCAGCAGACCTATGTACTGATTTTGAGCATCTACAGAGTCTCAATTCTAATGATAACCTGAACATCTCACATAATATAAATTAATAGAAAACTTTTATAATTAGAACATTTTTATTTTCATAAAATTCCAAAGGCAGGAAACAATTATGGTTAAGCCAACACTATTATGCACTGAGTTTTCGTTTTGTTGTTTAAAAAAATAATCAGGTTACATCATGATCTAAATTTCTTCTGATGTGAAAAATAATACCAAATGGTCAATCACTGAGAATGAAAAAAATTAAAAATTAAATACATAAAATATCTATAAAAACTTCTAGACCTAGTGTTTAGAATAACACAAAGGTAATCTCAATATATTAATATATGCCCCATTTTAAGTGGACTTTGGAAGGTATTAAAAAGCCTGGTTTATAAACTTATCTCAAATCAGTCACACCTGACCTCCCCAGCCTCCTTTTCTACCACAGTCAAATCAAACTTTCACTATCTCCAGAACCATTCCATGTTCTTTTGAACCTTTACCCCTACAGTTCTCTCTACTTGCAATACCTTTTGAAACAATACAGTATCTCTCAACCTACCCAAACTCTACTGACCTAAGCCCATCTCCAAGAAACCTTCCCAGATATGTAAACAAAAGAAATTCTTTCTCTGACATCTAATTATTTTAGTTTATATTAGTTTAATATTAAATTACTTTAGTGCATACTAATTATTTTTGTTGAATGAGCCTCTGTCCCACAGTGAATCCCTCCCCTAGCTATGGACAGTTGACATCATCTTCTACTTCCAGAGAAATAAAAAGCTATCATTTAGTCATTCCCTCCACTCTCCTCCACCAAAGACAGTGTATCGTATCCTCCCTTAATTCCCTCCTCTTATAATAAAGACACACTCTTATTTAAAGCCAACACCACCAGTGCTTTGGATTCTTCATATCTAAGTATTTACGGGGCACCTACTACAGGCCAAACACCGTTCTAAGAGGTAGGGATATAGTAGTGACTAAGTCAGACAAAAAGAAATACATTATAATGCAAGAGACAAGCACATAAACAAATATAATTTGAGGAAATAACAAATACTATGAAATCAAAAAAACAAGTTGATTTCAACTGGGAGGTGGCATTTAATATAAGATCTGGGAGGGAGCTCTGGAGAACTTCCCAACAGAAAGAACAGCAAAGTACCAAAATCCTGTGGCCAGTGTGGCTAGAAAGATATGAACACAGGGGTAGCAAGAGGGCAGATCTTATAAAGCCTTTAGGCCACAGGAGTTTACATTTCACTTGAGTGTAATGTGAAGCTATTAGAGAATTTTGAAAAGGGAAGTTACTTGAAATGTTTTAGGTTTAAAAAGATAACTCCAGCAGCTGGGAGAATATACTATATGGAAGCAAGAGTGCAATCAAGAAGACCAGTTAGGAAGTTATTGAGGTTGTGCAGACAAGAGATGACAGTGGGTTGAATTAGTTTAACAAGCGGAGATGATGAGAAGTGGTCAGATTTCTGGAATACATTTTGAAAGCAGAACTGATTTGCTGATGGATTACACGTGGGGTGTGAGAGAAGCGCAGTCAAGGATGACCGAATTCTGGAGCCTTAGAAACTGGTTGAATGGTGGTGCCATTTACTGAGATCCAGAAGACTGGGAAGGAAAAAAAAAACAGTTCAGTTGGGCCTATGTTAAGTTTGAGACAACTATTAGACATTCAAGTGGAGATTTTAAAAAGCTGCAGAAGCTTTGTGAGAGATGTTGTAAAGCAGAAAACTGAAATAAAAGCCATGGTCACAAGATTTTTGTTAAGGATAATTAATCAATATAATAGAACTTTGTATAAGGATATAAGGATCAACTAATCTCATAAGTTCAGTTTCTCTGTCAGGAATAATTTATCTCACAGGAATCCATATAATGGGCACTAAAAAAAATCTGAATTGAAAATATCAAAACACCCTGTAAACATGAAAACTACCCCCATCCTTTCTCTCTGGATGATAAACAGCTAAAACTGTGCAGCATTACATATCCTACCTGAGCATCTTTTTGAACAGACATAGGAGCCCAGTGATAGACTGCTCCGAGACACAGGAGTTTCTAGCATATCCTCCTTCTTTAGTCTCACATTAAGTTTCTATTCCATATGCTTTCATATCCAGTACTCTCACAGAAAAATTGAGTTTAAAAAAAAAATTTCTTTGCAAAAACAGTCCCTAAGGTGCACTGCAAATGTGCCTATCAGATTATCCTTAAGCCCTGACAAATGGCACATAGCACACTTACTTTTCCAACATTAAAACACTGTTGTTCTTACACAAACTTAATTAAAGAGTTACTTAATGGTTAACTTTTGAGATATGTGGAAGATTTTGGCAGCAATTATACTCCTAACAGTAAGAGGTAAGTGTATTTGACAAACATGTCAAAAAAATAAGCAGCTCCCTTAAAAATCAAAACTCTCTTCCAGTCTAGAGTCACATTTCAGAAATATTAAAGCTTATGAGAATTCTGCATTAAACATAAACAATTTACAAAATATCTGATGTGTTTAAAAACAGTTTATGTGACCAAAAAGAAAAAGGACTGGGGGATTTACTGTAGGCATGTAAAAAATAGAGGAATTTGGAGTTTATAAAGGGTACTTCACCAGTATTAGCTCACTTTTTTTTTTTTTTTTCACAATTACCCTACAAGACAAGTATTCTCCCTCTACCAATGAGGAAACTAAGACTGGCTGAAGGTCACAAATCCAATAAACAACAGGCTTTGATCCCAGATAGCAGATAACCTGAAATATTCAGGCCATTTAGATATACTATGTTTTAATAACAATCCTCTCATTTTAGTGCTTTAGTTTTTTCATTAGTAAAAGATCTCTATCTCCTAAAACACTAAAATATTGTGAAATTAACTGAAAAGTTGTAAACATAGCAGTCAGGGGACTTACATGGTCATTAAGTTATCTTGGAGACTGATGACTTTAAACACTCAGTTAAGAAATTCTTTGTTTAAAAGAAAATCTTAGGTAGATGGATAAGCAACTATAACAGACAAACATATATGCAAATTGGTGGGAGGGAACCAAAGACATCTGAGCAGACTTCAGAACTACAGTTTGAAAATCACTAATTTCCTCCAAATCCCTCATTTTTCAGGTGAGGAACTGAAGTCCAGAGGGGTTTCTTGAACTGCCCAAGGACACACTACTATTTAGTGATACAAGCTGGGACTAAAACTGAGGTCCCCCGACACCTGGTCCAGAGTTCTTTCTACTATACATCAAAGAATATACAAATAAAAGTTTATCATAACTAACCCAAAAGGCCTCCACAATGTGTATGTCACAGTGAACTGTGTTGTGAAATATTAATATCTGACTATGCCAAACCACAATGGAAGCAGTAAAGAGCTAGGCTCTGGAGTTAAATTATAGGCTCTAACACTTACACATGACCTTGGGCAAGTTATGCCACCTCACTGCCTCAGTTCCCTCATCTCTAAAATGGAGATTAAAATTACTTCTCTTATAGGTTACATAAAATAACATACGTAAAGCCCTTAGTAAACCGCCTTGTACATATAAGGCATTTAGTTCATGCTGATGATGATGATTAACTCATGCAAAAGCATAGCTTCTTGAAAATATATCACAAAAGATTACTGTTAAACATGTATATTCTCAAAGAATGTTATGACTAAGAGTAGACCTTTAAAGACTAATATGAATAAAGTGAAATATACAGAATTCAGTCATAAAACCACTATAGCATTTAAATCAGCAAAAGTACATTTCAAGATTTTTTAATGATTTATATTTGTATGTTATTTTAGTTTATAAAGTATATTCACATAAATTGTTTCAATTTACTGTCCTGTGAATTCAACAGCATCTTTTCAGTAACTCCTACATACCATACACCAAACAGAGTACTATTTTCTTTTTGAGACAGGGTCTCTCTCTGTTGCTCAGGATGGAGTACAGTGGCACAATCTCAGCTCAGTGCAATCTCCACCTCCTGGGCTCAAGCAATCCTCCCACCTCAGCCTCCCAAGCAGTTGGTACTACAGGCACAAACCACCAAGCTCAGCTACATTTTTTTTTGAGATGGAGTTTTGCTCTGTCACCCAGGCTGTAGTGTAATGGCACAATCTTGGCTCACTGCAACCTCCGCCTCCAGGGTTCAAGCGATTCTGATGTCTCAGCCTCCCAAGTAGCAGGTGCACGCCAAGACACGCGGCTAATTTTTGTATTTTTAGTAGACAGAGTTTCACCATGTTGGCCAGGCTGGTCTCAAACTCCTGACCTCAGGCGATCCACCTGCCTCGGCCTCCCAAAGTGCTGGGATTACAGTTGTGAGTCACCGCACCCGGCCCAGCTAATTTTTGTTTTAAATTTTTTCTAGAGACCAGGTCTCACTATATTGCCCATCACTCTTAGGCTCAAGCAACCCGGGCCTGTCTTGGCCTCCCAAAGTGCTGGTATTACAGGCATGAAGTCACAGAGCCGGCCACGATTTTCATGTTCATTATCTTATTTAACCTTCACTACCCATTAACTATGGGCCAGGTATTTTCAGAGGGAGAACTACAGTACAAAAAAGCCTCACAGACCAATTCTAGAAAGTAAGAGCCTCATTAGTATAACCTATTAGGTGGGAATATGTTTGGATAAATGAGATACAACGGAAGGAACACATCAAGTGCCCAAGAAAATGTTGGTTCTCCCTTAGCAGTAGTATGGGGTTGTTTTCCGTAGAAAATATATTGTGACCAGATCAAAAAAGCACCATTACTGTGACTTAAAATATTATTTGTGTGTGTGTGTGTGTGGTTTTTGAGACAGAGTATTGCTCTGTCGCCCAGGCTGGAGTGCAGTGCACGATCTCGGCTCACTGCAACCTCCGCCTCCCGGGTTCAAGCGATTCTCCTGCCTCAGCCTCCTGAGTACCTGGGACTACAGGCATGCACCACCATGCCCGGCTAATTTTTTTGTAATTTTAGTAGAGACGGGGTTTCGCCATGTTGGCCAGTCTGGTCTCCAACTCCTGACATCAAGTGATCCACCCATCTCAGCCTCCCAAAGTGCTGGGATTACAGGTGTGAGCCACCACACCCAGCCTGTGACTTACAATATTATTTGTAAAAGAGAACTGTCTTCAGTAATAGTGCCTATTATACACTATCCATGCTGTTACACAAAATTTACACAACAATTTTTGCAGGTCACTCTTTAGTGGAGGCTGAAGGTAGACAAGATGAGACAAAACCAATTCAATATAAAAATGTTTGTAAAGTAAGACGATAATTTTTAAATGTAATTCTCATTTGATGCCACCAACAGTCCTATGAGAAAGCGGGATGAGGATGGGTACTAATTCCATTTTACTGATAAGGAAATTGAGGCTCTGATATTAATAAGTTAAATACCTTAACTGAAATGACAAAAGAATGTGCCAGAAAAGGGCAAAAGCTAGGTTTACAGAATTGGGTCTTAGTGCTCTGTTCACCAACCCACATAACATCTCAGAACATTATTATCACTTCTAGATTATCCAATAAACTTAAGGCTACAGCAGCTAACAGTTACTGAACTGCACACAACCCATCACATGAGTTATTTAAATTAACCTCTTATGAACCTAGAAGCAGATGCCATTACCATCTTCATTTTATAAATGAGGAACCCAGTATTCTTAGGAAGATTAAATAATTTGTCCCAAATCACATGGTTAGGAAGCAGCAGAGCGAGAACTCAAATCAAGTGTTAGAGCCTCAATAAAATATTTTACCCACTTCAGTATAAACTTAATATAATAATGCATATGGCTGAATTATTTTTCATTAAGTAAACTGTAAGCAAAACCCTTCTTTAACATTCTAATACATAATCAGATTTCTGACGGATTTCACTATTCAACCTCACCATAAAATAAAATCAGTGTTATTTCAACACAAATACTCAATCACCTGATTTGACTGACATAGACTACCATGCAGTCACCCCCACCAAAAGATGATTTTCTTCCAGAGGGAACCAAAACTCAAGCTGCTAAAGGTTTATATTCAAAGCAAAATTTTAAAATTATCAGTGGCTTAAATGGGAAAGTCACTTGCTGGCCTTATTCCAGGTATCTTATTTATTATTTAGACACAAAAACAGTAATTTTGTCACTGTTTTAAAGTATATTTCTGGCCGGGCACGGTGGCTCACACCTGTAATCCCAGAACTTTGGGAGGCTGAGGCGGGTGGAGCACTTGAGATCAAGAGTTCAAAACCAGCCTGGCCAACATAGTGAAACTCTGTCTCTACAAAAAATACAAAAATTAGCCAGGCATGCTGGCATGTGCCTGTAATCCCAGCTACTCGGGAGGCTGAGGCAGGAGAATCGCTTGAACCCAGGAGGGGGAGGTTGCAGTGAGCTGAGATCGCACCATTGTACTCCAATCTGGGCAACAAGAGTGAAACTCCATCTCAAAAATAATAAAGTATTTCTGATATTGCAATGTGGTTAATCATCCTAAAACTATATATTACAAGTCCCAACAAGGCTAACAGTAGGGTGACATTATGATGTGGTCCCAATTCGAACATTTTGATAGTGAAAGGGGTTCTATTAAATAAAATAATTGTGCTGGAACAATCAGGCTTTATACTACGACTGTCTCAGAAAAATTAAGATACTATAGTCACCCATAAAAGCACCCCATTCTGATTTGTATATTATGAGCTATTCTCTCCATCTGATTTAACTCGTGAGCTTTAAGTTATTGCTCCAGATCTAACAATTATCTTCAGCCTTAAGACCAAGAGCATCATTTTTTTTTTTAAAGAGACAAGGTCTCCCTCTGCAGCCCAGGCTGGAAGCCTGGCCTGACCATGATTCACTGCAGCCTTGAACTCCTAGGTTCAAGAGATCCTCTGGCCTCAGCCTCCCAAAGTGCTGGGATTACAAGCATGAGCCAACGTGCCTGGCCCAAGGGCACCATTTTACAGACATCAGGCCAAGGTTAAGGGTGCTACCGCTACCTATAAAGGTTTTTTATTTGTTCTTTTAGTTTTATTTTCAAATTTGACTTTATATACACTTGCTTTAAAAAAAAAAAACAGATGCACATATTTCAAGTAAAGTAATTTTGTGAAACATCTATTACCTAATTTCACTTATCTCTCCAAAAGATTTGGATAACCATAAAACTAGTTCTAAAATGTCCTAATGCTCAAGAGTTACAATTTTTCAAATCGCTTTATTACACAAAAGGTTAAAAAAGAAAAAAACTTGAATAAGAGCTGGAAACTTCTCACTGAAAAACCAACCAAAGTGGTAAAAGATAGCAGAAACCGACAATCACAAAATAGTACAATAATGTTTAAAGAAAACTCCAGTTAATACTGTCATAGCTCTCTGAATCTGGCATTAGCTGTACAACCTAGGAGACAACGTTTTGCTTTAATTTGTCAAGATGTAAATAAGTACTAACAGACCCATGGTCTGAACTGCAGTATTTGAATGAAAGGCATTATTTGAATATAATTACAATTCCCTATGGCAATAAATGTTCCAAAGAGCTGGCTTATCTGATTTAAAACTCAACCATATCAAGACTCGGAAGGACTCTCAAAATCTAAATTGTAGCCCTGTGCTGTCCAATGCAGTAGCTACCACTAGCCACATGTGGGTATTTAAACGTAAATCAATTTATTAATTTATGAATAAAATTAAAAATTAAGTTCCTCAGTGACACTTATCACATTTCAAGTGCTGAAGAGCCACTGTGCCTAGGCTACCACTAGTGCCTAAAGGCACAGATTATGGAACATCTCCATCAAGGCAGAAACTGCTAGTGAAAAGTGCAGCCCTAGACTTAGGCATACTTCGCTCCAACGTCCCGAATATCCTGAGATAAGAAACTTTCCATAGCACAATGAAGAGCATTCCATTCTTGCAAAGTACTCTCACGAACTGTTTCTCATAGGCAAATTCAGCCTCTTTGAAACATTCACCAGAAATTCCCCAAGTTTTGTCCTTCAAGTAAATCTTTGCAGGGCGAATTTAATTCCTCTTCCAGAGTCTGCCCTTCACATATACTAAGACCCCAGGTCCTCTCCTTCCAAATACATACATACATATATACACATACATATACTTATATACACACATATGTATATACATATATATACACACACATTTCTTTCTACCGAAATAACTTAACATTTCTATTAGCCTCTTGGAGAAATGCTAATTTATCCACGTGTACAGTAATACTACGTCCAGGATCGTCTGAGTGTCAAATATTACATATCACTGTCTTCATAACTTCACTCTCACGTGTGAGACCAAGTGTCCTGATTCTCTGAGAAAATAAGGTCACAGTCATTCTGAACTCCTAAAACGTGGAGAGCAAAAGCAGAGCTAATATGTACTGAGCAGCACCTGGCGCTGTTCTAAGCGTTTAACGTGTATTTTCTCATATAATCCTCACAATTCTGAAATAGGCTATAAGATCGCCATTTTACAGACCAAAACAAGGCAAAGACAAGCTAAATAATTTCCCCAGGGGTCACAGACGTGAGCTCACCCCACAGAGAACACAGCGGATCTTTTCCTCTTTCTGGATGCTACACTCCCACTAACTACCTAACTCTTCTCTCGCCGTGCCATAAAGCAACAATTTCCCTCTTTAATGATTCCTCCGGCAGCCCCCACACTACCTAGACGACCCGCGCACCCCGCTTCTCAGCACAGCCCAGCCCCCCTCACCCCACGCCCACCCGCCAAAAGGGAGGAGTCGAGAGGCAACTCCACGCTCGGCAGCGGAACCAGGGCGCTGCGCCCGGCCAGCGCCTCCCACAGCCGCCCTCCCTTCAACACTCCGGCGTAGACCACGAAGACCCAGGCAGCCGCCCTCGAGCCGGGGCCAGGGCGTGGCCGGCGCGGGGGCCCAGCGACGCTGGGATCTCCGCTCTGCGTCCCTCCCGGCTCTCTGACGTCTCCCCCGCCCGAATCCCCGCACCGCCCCCCGCAAGCCCTACAACCTCTGCTTTAAGAACCCTTGGAGGCACTGCTGCGCTTCCCGCGAGGAGAATGTGGGGGTGGAGATGGTGCGGTTTCTGCTGCTGCGGCCCGGGACACGCTTGGAAAGGGGCGGGGTGGGGGACTGAGAGTGTGGAGTGTAGAAAGGGAAAAGGTGACTCGGCTGTGTGACGGGGCGATGGGGGGGGTACAAGATGGCGTGAGCCCGACTCTCGGTGGGGCGGGGGTTGCGGAGACTGAGGAGTAAGCGATACGGACGCCCCCCGCACTGGCAGTGCGGGCGCATGCGCGCTTGGCCAGGTGGCGCGCGCTCTCCCAGCCCGAGCGAGCTACTTCCGCCACGCTCGCCGGGGGCGGGGCGTTGTGCGCGGCCTTCAGGGCCCGGCTTGGGCAGCGCTGAGCCACGCGGCGGCGTTTAGAGCTGGGGACGCTGGGAGCGGAGTGGGGACGAGCTGAGATCGGTCAGGGTGTACAGGGTGCAGGCTTGAATTCTTTAGGAATTGGGCCCGAGAGGGCTAGGATTTTTGAAGGATTGGGTGACCGGCACTGGAAGTTGATTTTCAACTCCGAGGAAGAGATTCACCGTTCTAAGCTTCTTTCCAGGAATTGGAGTGAACGGGATCTTAATGGGATTGCGCGTTTACAATGGTGAAGGGAAACGGAGGGGTCTGAACGCTCCCCGCAGGGCCGCAGTACAGGCGTGTGGATGTGGAACCCTTTCTGGGACGGCGAAACCAGCTCTTACGCCGCTTCCGCGCGCCATCACTCCCTACCCTGACCTCGCACAGAATCTGTTTCATTAATCTGCTATTAATGTTTTTTCCCCAACTCATGTTACTAGACGCAGGCGTTTAACTACCATGTTTTGTTATTGAAAACTTTTTCTACTTGAAGGCTTTTTTTTTTTTTTGGACGATTCTGTGTTTAGATTTTGGCCTGTTCCTCATTTTAAAATCTTGCACCCCCAGTATTGTACTGTACATTCTGTCCTGCCACATTTAATTGATATAGATGTAGTTCTTTAAATAATACAGTAGTCGTAAGACAATGCTTTCAGTCTTTCACTCTTTATATTATATGAAGTCTTATTTATATTTAACATTCTTATTGCCTGCTTAGAGAAGAAAACTGGTTATCCATGCTCACCTTCACACCTGTGTTGTCAAATACTATAAAATACTGTATTTTATAGGGATTCAAGTATTAACCCTCACCAAGTCTTTTTAAGCATCACTGCTTCAGTTATTTTCTTGCCTATAGATACTGTGAGTTCTGAAATCCCTTCCTTCTATTTGCTTAAATTGTTTAAAATAGCAACTTATTTGGTTATTTCCTCTGTGGATTGTAGTTGAGTCTGCTAGTGTTGTGTTTGATTCTCTTTAATCTCCCCAACGCTTCAATATTTGCCAAATACCTAAAATTCCAAAAGAATAGATATATTTAGGATGTGAGAGCTCAGCTTGATGTGTAAATCAGGGATCAATTCATTGCTGAGCAAAGTGTGCAGTATAAGGGAAAGTAACAGAGTGAGTATGGTGATAACTTCTTACATGGGAAGACTGGTTGAAAGCTCTTTTGAGTACATTACCAAGAAATTAGTTAACAGAAGATTAAGAGAAAAATTAATGTTCACATCTAAAGAAACATAAAAGTAGATCATTTCAATTAAAATTATGTTCAGTTAATGTTATCATAGAAGTTCCTGCACTGGAGTTTCACCTGCATCAGATGAGTACCTGTTTGATCCAGTTTATCAGGATAGAATCCAGATCATCTTATTCTAGGATACTGGTGTCCAGCCTGCATAAAATCACACACAGGCCAGGCGCGGTGGCTCACGCCTGTAATCCCAGCACTTTGGGAGGCCGAGACGGGCAGATCACAAGGTCAGGAGATCGAAACCATCCTGGCCAACATGATGAAACCCCGTCTCTACTAAAAATACAAAAAAGTATCCGGGCGTGGTGGCACGTGCCTGTAGTCCCAGCTACTCGGGAGGCTGAGGCAGGAGAATCGCTTGAACCTGGGAGGCGGAGGTTGCAGGGAGCCGAGATCACGCCGCTGCTCTCCAGCCTGGCAACAGAACTAGACTCCGTCAAAAAAAGAAAAAAAAAAATCACGCACAACAAAAGTTAATGAGAGTGACACATGGAGAAGGGAAACTGAGTTAAGGCATTGATACAGGAAGTTTAAAAATTTATTCTTAGGAAACTGAATTGGGCTGTTGGCAGAGATCTGATTTTTAAAGTCACATGAGTTAACCAGGTTCCTACCTCCTGGAATTTCTTAAAATCCATTTTTGAAAATCTGATTTAGCCATAATTTTGCTCATAGTTTGAGACCATTGCTATATACAAAGGGCCAAAAATATTTTTGCATTACATTCATATCAAATATCCTAAACTATCAATGGTACTAGGGTATCTTAATTATAACAAAGCTAAAACAGCGAAGCTGTTGCTGAAGTTAAGGCTTTGATGACTACCACCTCTCAGAAAAACAAGTGATTTTCCAAGGCATGTGGGGAAAACACATCAGGAGACCAAGTTAATTTATCACTCCACAAAAATGTCTCCATGACCTGGACAAAATTGTTAAAGAAAAATGAAGCATTGTTAGCGTAGACTTTAACGTTCCTCTGGCATGTAATATTCACGTAGACTCACTAGTGCAAAGAGAAAGTGCATGTATCTAAGTAAAAGTGCCCATGGGCATCTTAAAATGATTAGGTAGTAAGCCCACATTCTCAAAAGAGCAGCAGAAGTCATGGCTAATATGGAACCATCTCTCTGATTCCATGGAAGTGGTTTCTTTTTATTATTATTTTTTGAGACAGAGTCTCGCTCTGTCACCCAGGCTGGAGTGCAGTGGCCCGATCTCGGCTCACTGCAACTTCCTCTTCCCCAATTCAAGCGATTCTTCTGCCTCAGCCTCCTGAGTAGCTGGGATTACAGGCGTGTGCCACCACGCCCGGGTAATTTTTGTATTTTTAATAGAGACGGGGTTTCACCATGTTGGTCAGGCTGGTCTCAAACTCCTGACCTTGTGATCTGCCTGCCTCGGCCTCCCAAAGTGCTGGGATTACAGGTGTCAGCCACCGCACCCGGCCAGAAGTGGTTTCTTCTCATGTGGATGCTACAGTGACAGTTCAGGTGACTTGGAAATTCTTTGTTGTTTGAGATTCATAACTCTTACTTGCTAGGATGTTTGTGGGGACTTTTTATTTTCTATTTATCAATTATTTCATCCTTTGCTATATTTGCCTTCTATTTTTAATGCTTAAGTTGTCACCATGGAAATAAACTGGGTAGATTGCATATTGTTTAGAACCGTATATTGCAATTGTTGCTATATTTGTTTTCTGACGTTGAGAACTGTTTTCCAATTGCATTCTCAAAAGTATCTTGTTTTATGTTTAGAGCAAGTTGTTCTGACCAAAAAGATTACTCAGCCCGGTAGTACCTGAGCAAGTCACTTAACATCATTGCACCCCAGTTTTTGTATCTGTGGAATGAGATGATAGAACCAAATGAACTAAAACCTTACAGCCCTAAAATTCTATGTTCCTTCAAAATGGGAATAGCCAAAGGATGGATACTAAAGTTGTGCAGAATAATTTCAGCATTTGTGCTACAAAAATTACAAAAGTATTCAGGGCTTTTCTTTTTTTTTTCTTTTGAGACAGGGTTTCCCTCTCTGTTGCCCAGGCTGGAGTGAAGTCATGCAGTCATAGCTTACTGTAGCATCAACCTTCTGGGCTCAAGCAATCCTTCCACCTCAGCCTCCTCAGTAGCTGGGACTACAGGCATGTGCCACTACACTCAGCTAATTTTTAAATTTTGTGTATAGATGGGGATCTCCCTAGGTTGCCCAGGCTGGTCTCAAACTCCTAGGCTTAAGAGATCCTCCTGCCTCAGCCTCCCAAAGTGCTGGGATTACAGGAGTGAGCTGCCATGCCCTGCCTGATGTTACACATTTCAAAAGAAAAACCAGCGTGAAAAGATGTATCAAATATGCTGATGCACTGCAGGGGGTTGGGGTGCCACAAAATTATTAAGGTGTAATCAAATTGGCTTCCCCTACCTTCCAATTGCATTCATAAGGAAAAGCAGTACAATGATTAGAAAAGAAATGTTAAAAAATTTTACAGTACCAGGTAGCTTGTAGAATTGTAATCATGATCATCCTCTTAGGGACCTATCATTGTAGATTTCACAGTCCAGTGTCTTTTAAAAGTAGTGCTTGGCTGCTGAAAAAATGATTATGTTTTTGAGAGTCAGAATGGTAAGGGAACCATGGAATACCAGAGTTTCAAAGAGCCTTTGAGCTCTTCAGGCACATGAAAACTTAGTTGTTCCCGTTCCCATGGAATCCAATATGTAAAACTCTTGTACTGGAATCAAACAACTTCTACATTTCAACGGATTGTTGTAGGCCTACCATGTACCTGACACTATTCTCGAAGCTGCAGATAGAGCAGTGAACAAAACAGACAAAAACATATGCCATCATCAAACTCACATGCAGAAGTTAGACAATAAAAATAAATGCCTAAAATAAATACCTAAATTATATAGTATGTTAGAAGGTCATGAGTGTTATCAAAAAAGTTTATACAGGAAGGGATGTGGAAGGAGACCAAGCACAGGAGAAATGGGGAAGATGTCATTTTTAAATTGGGCAGTTGAAGCAGGCCTCACTGAGAAAGTAGTATTTGAAGAATGACTTGAAAGTGAAGGAGATACCTGCACATATCTGAAGAAAGAGCATTCCAGACTATGAGAACAACTTGTGCAAACCGTAGGGTGGGGACAGGTCTGGTAAGTTGAAGCAACTGCCAGGAGGCCACTGTAGCTAAAGAAGAGTAACCCAGAAAGAAAATCATGTGATATGAGGTCAGAGAAGCACTAGGCCAGATGGTGAAAGGCCTTGTGTGCCTGACACTGAGAGGCTATTGGCAGAAGATTGACATCGTAAGATTTAGGCTTTAAATTGGTTACCTTGGCTGCCAGGTTGAAAATAGTCTGTAGAGTGACAGGTCCTATTGCAGTAACCCAGGCAAAAGATGATGGTAGCTTGTACTAGGGTTGTTACAGTAGAGGGCTTAAGACATGGTTGGGTTCTGGGTATATTTTGAAAACCAATATGATTTGTTGACACATTGGATTTAGGGTTCTAGAGAAAGAGAGGAATGAAGGATGAACAATTTTGTTCAGAGCAACTGGAAAAATTGATTTGCCTACATTAGCTGAGATGGGGAAGATTGGGGTTGGAGTATGCTGGGCAGGTGCAAGAGATCAGGAATGCAGTTTGGGGAATAAGTACATAATTAAGCATGATGTTTGTATTATCTTTAATGTTTTGCCATCAAAAATAAATAAGTTCTGGGCCGGGCACGGTGACTCAAACCTATAATTCCAGCACTTTGGGAGGCCAAGGCAGGTGGATCATTTGAGGCCGGTTCAAGACCAGCCTGGCCAACATAACGAAACCTCATCTCTACAAAAAAAACACACAAAAAATTAGCCAGGTGGGGTGGCACATGACTGTAATCCCAGCTACTTGAGAGGCTGAGGCAGGAGAATCGCTTGGACCCAGGAGGCAGAGGTTGCAGTGAGCCAAGATAGCGCCACCGCACTCCAGCCTGGACAACAAAGCAAGACCCTGTCTCAGTAAATAAATAAATAAGTTCTTAAGGAAATGAGAACTTTGAATTTGTAACATTCTATAATAATTAAATTAATTTCTAATCTTGCTCATGTAATAAAGTTCCATTTAGACCTATCTAATATATGTCAAGGAATACCTTTAAGAAAGTTTGAGAAAAGCTAAACATCCCCTTGTTTAAAAAAAAAGAAAAAGAAAAATATTTTTTGGTCTATTAATCCATGAAAGTAGAGAATAAAGTTAAGACGAGTATACAGAAACATCCAGTTCTCCAAAGTATTTTCATTGAAACTGAATCTATTTCAGTAAATTATTCAAATAACTGCCTTCTTTTTCTATTACATGTGGAAACAGGACCAAAAGTTATTTGGTGTCATATAAAATAAACTACAGTGTGGCTAAGGCAACCTGTTATTCCTACTTCACATTCTGAAGGTGGATGCAACAAACCTATTTTGACTAAGTAATGCTCAGATCATTTGTTAATAGTAATCAGGGAACTGTACCAACAGGTTTCACCAGGTTACTTTGTTTTTATTTTTAGCTTTTTACAGATGCAGCATAAGCTGTATTTTCCTCTTTCCAGAATATGTTTAAAACCATTTCTTTAACTCAGTCAGGTATAGTGTAAAAAATAAAGGCTTTGGTGTCACTTTAGCCATAATGCTGGGCAAGTTATTCAACTGAAAATAAGTGTCCTCCACTGTAAAATAAGGATAGGAATACTTAATGTAGGAAGGTTGATATCAGATTTAAATGGGAAGTTCCTGACACATTGAAAATATTTAATAATTTGTAGTTATTATTGTTTTCCAGGGGTGGGGGGAGTGGTTGGGGTTTTTTTTGTTTGTTTGTTTGTTTCTTTGTTTTTTAGACAGAGTTTCACTCCATTGCCTGGGCTGAGTGCAGTGGCATGATCTCAGCTCACTGCAACCTCTACCTCCGGTGTTCAAGCTATTCTTATGTCTCAGCCTCCTGAGTAGCTGGGACTACGGGCATGCACCACCACGCCCAGCTAATTTTTGTATTTTTTGTAGAGACAGCATTTTGTTATGTTGGCAAGGCTGGTCTTGAACTCCTGGCCTCAAGTGATCCTCCCACCTTGGCCTCCCAAAGTGCTGGGATTACAGGTGTGAGCCACTGTGCCTGGCCAGTTTTCTAGTTTTTATTATAATTAGTTATTGAGTAATTTTATAATGTTTATATTTTTAATGTGTTAGACATAGTACTATTAAACACAAAATCTTATCTCAAGTATTAGACATTAGGGTGTCTTTTTTTTTTTTTTTTTTTTTTTTTTTTAAAGACCGGGTCTCACTCTATCTCCCAGACTGGAGTGCAGTGGCACAATCATAGCTCACTGTAACTTCAAACTTCGGGGCTCAAGCAGTCCTCCCACCTGATGCTACAGATGCACACCACCATACCCTGTTAATTTTTTAAAAAAATTTTATGGAGATGGGGTCTCACTATGTTGCCCAAGCTGATCTCAAACCCCTGGCCTCACGTCATCTTCCTGCCTCAGCATCCAAACTGCTGGGACTACAGGCATGAGCCACTATGCCCAGCCTATTTTTTCTTAATTCAGTAAACTTATGTAAATTTGACAATTATTCTTTTAACAGACATTTACTGAGGACGTAGTAAGTACACTATTTGTCATTGTTAGACATTGGGAATATAAGATGAATAACAGAGTCTCTGCTCTCAAAAAGACTTCTTACTGGTGAATTTAGGAGAGACAAAGGTATATAAACAAGGAAGAGCAAAGGTACTATGATAATATGTAACCTGGGTGTCAGCTGAGATCTCCCTGGGTTTTAACCTCTCGGTTAGGATTGGTTTGAACCTCCATTCCACCTCATTTGCAAGTCCAATGCCCAACCCAAGTTTTTTTCTTATTTCTGGGGAGCTGATGTTCTCACTGAACCGCTTTGGCTCTGAACTTCCCCTTACGGTAAACTAGTGAGGTTCATGGATGAGCTGCCATCTGTCCTTATTCCACAAACATCCACTCAGATGTGGAACTTATCCCTGTTCCTAGGTTTCACCCAAAAGCATTTTCACAAAGCTCTGTGTGGGCACAGCAGATTTACTAAGGTTGTGAAATGATGAAAGGGAGTTAACATCACAACATCACAGAAACACAACTTAAAAGTACTGTAAATTTCTATTCTTAAAAGCAGGCCAGGTGTGGTGGCTCAAACCTATAATCCCAGCACTTTGGGAGGCCAAGGTGGGTGGATCGCTTGAGGTCAGGTGTTCAAGACCAGCCTAGTCAATATGGTGAAACCCCGTCTGTACTAAAAATACAGAAATCAGCTGGGCATGGTTGTGCATGCCTGTAATCCCAGCTACTCAGTAGACTGAAGCAGGAGAATCTCTTGAAGCTGGGAGGTGGAGGTTGTGTTGAGCGAAGATCGCACCACTGCACTCCAGCCTTGGTGAAAAAGCACTCCTGCCACAATATCGTGCTTCTCCACAGTGCCCCTTTTTCTTCTTTCTACTCAGTCCTCTGCTCTTCCTCACCCACAAATTCTTATTTGTTTTTAATATTAAGTAGTTTTTTCTTTTCTTAGATTCCAGCAGGCTCCAGTCTTTGAGGGCTTACTGCCCACCCAGCAGCTTATTAGTGCTTTTTTTTTTTTTTTTGAGACGGAGTTTCACTCTTTTTGCCCAGGCTGGAGTGCAATGGAACAATCTCGGCTCACTGCAACCTCCGCCTCCCAGGTTCAAGCGATTCTCTTGCCTCAGCCTCCCTAGTAGCTGGGATTATAGGCATATGCCACCACGCCTGGCTAATTTTGTATTTTTAGTAGAGATGGGGTTTCTCCATATTGGTCAGGCTGGTCTCAAACTGCCGACCTCAGGTGATCTGCCCACCTCGGCCTCCCAAAGTGCTGGGATTACAAGCATGAGCCACTGCGCCCGTCCTATTAGTGCATTTTCTCAAAGAAATTGGAGATCATTTCCTTCAAAACTATGCTCTGATATAAATTATCTTACCTCCATATGTATAGATTGTAGCAGAGACACAATTAGGGAGTAGTCATTTGAGGCCACTAAGTGTTGACTGGAGCAGAGAAAGATGTCAAGGAAGATAACTTCTCTGAACCTCAGTTGTCTTCAAGGTCTTGTGATGAGGATTACATGGAAATGTATGCAAAGTGCCTTGCACATGATAAGCTCTTAATAAATGTTGGGTTTTTTTGTCATTATTGTCGTTACTGTTGAGAAGATGACGCATCACTCAGCCTTGAAGAGTAAATGATGGTTTAACAAAATGAGGAAGGATAATTTAGGCAGAGGGAGCCGTATTAGCAAAGTCAGTGTGTTGGAGGAAACTGCCAGTTGTCCAGCATGATGAGATCATAGGGTATGAGAAAGAAAGCTAGAAATTTGACAGGAGCCAGATCAAATAAAGTCTTGGGCATTAAGTTTGGGCTTTATCTAATAAAAGATGGTGAGCCTTGGAATAATTTTTTTTAATGCAATGACATAGTTTGCTTTTTAGTTGACAGTAATGTGTAAGACAGGTTGGAAGGGTGAAAAACTGGAAGGAGCTAACAGTTCAGGAAGAGGTGATACGGGCTAGAGTTAAGTCAATGGAGTAGGAAACAATAGAAGATGGCAGGAGAAATGCTAAAGAAGTAGAATTTTATATAACTTGGGTACTCGTAAGACATGAGGATAGAAGTAAGGCAAAGAAGGAACTCAAGTATCATTCCAAGGTTTCTTGACTTACTGAGTGGATGGTAGTACCATTTATCAAGACAAGGCATACTAAAATGGCAGTTTTGGACATATGTTTGAGGTGACTGTACAAAATCTCAGTGGCTATGACAAGTAGCAAACTGGAATATTCAGGCAAAATAGTCAAGATAGAAGCTAGAATAAATTATGTAGTTCAAGAGAGTGGCTGCACATTTAGGTTTAGGAACCAGAAGCACACAGCACTCATCATTCCACACACATAACTCACATGCGACACACAGCCCTGTTCCTAGATTCGGCCTAGAAACATTCTCGCAAGAATCTGTGTGGGCACAGCGGAAGCCAAAGGAGACAATGAAATGCCCGAGACAGTGCATAAAACAATGAGAAGTGAGTCAAACATCAAATCCTAAATATCCACATTCAATGCTTCTAGTTCCCAGATCTAAATGTCCACATACTCTCCTGATCTCCAGACTGTATTCTAGCTTCTATCCGCACCATTCTGCCTGAATATTCCAGTTGTGCTACTGGTTATAGCCACTGGGATTTTATACAGTTACCTTAAACACAGTCAATGGGAGGAGGAGAGGAAGAGTCAACAAGGAACGTTGAGAGGGTGCTTAGTGGTGTCACAGAAACCAGGAGAGCAGAGTTTCAGAGAGGCATATTAATGATGCTAAAACGAGAATCAGGATTAATTGGACTTAGCCAGTTGAAGGTAATCGTTGGCAAAACAGCTTCAATAGAGTGGTAGGAATAGAAGCTTGGTTATAGTGACTTGGAAAGTCCTATAAGTTCCTTATTCTTCCCAAGAAATTGGCCTGTGAAAGAGAAAGAGTAGCTGGAGAAATATTCAGGGCCATGATATAGATGTTCAAGATCAAAAGACTTGAGGTTATTTACAGGCTTTCGAGAAGAAGCTGGTAAGGAGGGAAGGTTTGAACACTTGGGATAGACGAAGGCTAATGACGAAATCACTGGATGCAAAGATAGAATTAGACCCTAGAAAAGAGCCCAGAAAGTGAGATGAGTCTTAAATTAGAAAAGAGGCAGATTGGAAAAAAGAAATGAGAACTTGAAGCAGACCATACCTAATGATCCCAGTTTTTTCAGTAATGTATGAAAGCAACTATTTTGCTGAAAAAGTGAGGATGACAGGGTAAATCCTGTATGAGGTGATAAAGTTTTGTTGCCACACTATGAGGAATAGGACAGAGATAACCAGAGGCTTGTTAAATTGCAGCTAGCCCAGAGCATACAGCAGTGGCTTTAAAAGTGTACTTGCAGCATCTGCTTCTCGTTAGAAATGAATATTTGGGCCCCGCCCCAAACCTGCAGAATCAGATACTCTGGGGGGCGGAGTTCAGCAATCTAACTTAACAAGTTGTCCAGGTGATTTTGAAGTAAGTTAATGTTTGAGAACAACTTGCACTAGAGCATCTACAGAATTTGTGACTCCTCCAACTAGCAAGCAATGATGAAGCACAAACTATGTTACTCAACCACATTCTAGTCATTTTTGGTCATATTTTTCATATTACAAATACATTTATTTGGAACAATATTGTTAAGGACTTTTAAAAATCTACTGGTTTCTCTCTAGAAATGGGTGTCATACAGGATTTAAAAATCTAAACCAAGAGATTTCTTTCTTCCAAGTTTTACAAAGCAAATACTATAAAAAAAATCTTGCTTCTCTACTCTCATTTTACATTTATAATAGAGAAATAATAAAATTGTTGTTCATAGCATCAGAAATATTCAGCGACTCCCCCTATATAGCAATTCTCAAATTATGCTCCAGCACTGGTATCATCTCATTCTAACCAAATAATGGCAGTCATTTCCCAATTCATGGGGAAGGAATTTATGAACTGAATTTCTCAATTTTAAATTATCCTCCAACAAATGTTTCTTAAACCTTCGGCTTCTACTACTACTTGTCTTGCAGCAAGTGCTAATTGATGACCAAGTAAGTGAACAAATAGTAAATAAATATTAATGAAACTTGAAGTTAGCCAGTCATACTTAGTTCAATAGTTTCTCTTCAATAGAACACATGTTTATGACTGTGATTTTTATATTGCATACCAATAATAAAGTCATTTTCTACTATTATTGTCCCAATAATCTTGCCATTGCTCAAATATTTGGAACCTAACTTGGAACTACTTTCACGATCTGGGAGATATCCTTTTGGAAATCCTGAACAATGAAACAGCCAACAGATCACTGGTCTAGAAAGATCATAAAGACTCATTTTTCAGCTAAATATGTGTGTAGGTGATCAAGGTGATTTAACCAAGTATGTCTTGCTTAAAGAAATATGGCATAATATGTAGAAATCCATATTTGTAAATCATAGATGGACATATAGATGACAGTGAGACATTCTCCAATTACTTACAATTAAGACTAAGCTCTGAAAGTTTATTTGTACAATAAGTAAATAATGGATCATTGTAGAGATACAGATCCAAGACAGCAAGCCTTAATTATAACCTGATTAAAATATGATATAAATAAGAAGAGAGGTTAGTCAGGAAGCACAGAAAGAGCAGAATTAGAACATATTGGCAGGCCGGGCATGGTGGCTCATGCCTGTAATCTGGTACTTTGGGAGGCTGAGGTGGGCAGATCACTTGAGGCCAGGAATTAGAGACCAGCCTGGCCAGCATGGTGAAACCACGTCTCTACTAAAAATACAAAAATTAGGTATGGTGGTGCACACCTGTAATCCCAGCTGCTTGGGAGGTTGAGGCACGAGAATCACTTGAACCTGGGAGATGGAGGTTGCAGTGAGCCGAGATTGAACCAGTGCCCTCCAGCCTGGGCCACAGAGGAAGACTCTGTCTCAAAAAAAAAAAAAAGTTATTTCACATTCCAATTCTGTGGAGGTAAATGAGGAAAAGAAATAGGTCAGGCTATGATGGTCTTAGTATTATTTAAAAATTCAAATTATGTAGATAACTCTCATTATCCTGATTCTGTTGTGACCAAGCAACCTTCAGATTCTTTGGCTTCCATGAATAGTATTTGGCTTCTCAGTAATGTGATAATAATGTCAATGATAATGTCAATAACTCAGCATTTTGTTTTTTATGCTGGGTCTCTTATAAGTTGAGTCAGCTCTGGAACAGCAATATGTTGTCTGGTGAGGGTCAAGGGGGTCAAACCCCAAACCCGAACTCCACTCTAAGAGGTTCAGGCCGTCTTCCTTGGCAGTACCCCAACCTGGAAACCTGTTTTTCTTCTGAACAACTACAGGAAACAGATAAATTATCATGTGCTTTTTCACCTCATAAAAGGATCGTTTGCTTTATGAAAATGTTTTAAAACATTGGGAACTTAAAGAAGATGAGAAACTGAGAAGTGACTTTTGAGTTTTCAGAAGTGCTTTAATGTTGACATAACTAGTCTTGATGGTGTGGTGAGGGTATAAATGTGAACATATTGAACAGATCACTCATTTGAGAAGGTTAGCAGTTAAAAGAAGGAAGGGAACAAAATGGAAGGTGAAAGTGTAATTGGGTAATTGAAAAGAATTTTGGTTGTCATTTTCCCCCATGAGAAAGAAACTAGGTCAGAAAAAAAAGAGAAAGGCCAATGGAAATGGAAATAGAGATATGAACATCACAGGAGAGAAGCTGGATAACTGAGAATACAGGCTCCCTAAAAAGATTGGGTTTGTGGGGCAAGGGAGTACATTTCCTTCAGGGAAAACTCCTTCAAAATTACTCTGAAACATAGTACTTCTTTTAAATACATAACTTTATTATTATAGATTGGCTTTAGACTCTCTTCCCTCTGATCAAATCTCTCTCAAATTTTATTTATTTACAAAATATGAATGAAGCGTCTCTCACAATTAAAAGAGGAAGAAAGATGTGATCCCTGTCCTAGAGAAGCTTATAGTCTAACCGGAAAAAATGGACTTCTAAACAAATCATTGCATGTCTTGTATAGGTACAAGATTCTATGTGATATGGTTTGGATGTTTATCCACACGAAATTTCATTTTGAAATGTGATTCCCAAAGTTGGAGCTGGGGCCTGGTTGAAGGTGACTAGATCATGGGGGCAGATCCCTCATGAATGGCTTGGCACCATCCCCTTGGTAAAAGTGAGCTCTTGCTGTTAGTTTATATGAGATTCTGTTGTTTAAAAGAGTCTGAGACCTTCCCCTTGCTCTCTTGTTCCCACTCTCGCCCTGTGATGAGCCTGCACCTGCTTCACCCTTCATCATGATTATAAGCTTTCTGGGCAGATATTGGTACTATGATTACTTGTACAGCCTGAAGAACCATGAACCAATTAAACCTTTTTTCTTTATAAATTACCCAGCCTCAGGTATTTCTTTACAGCAATGCTAAAATGGCCTAACACAATGTATTAGTCTGTTTCCACACTGCTGTAAAGAACTGCCTGAGACTGGGTAATTTATAAAGGAAAGAGGTTTAATTGACTCACAGTTCAGCATGGCTGGGGAGGTTTCAGGAAACTTACAGTCATGGTGGAAAGCGAAGGTGAAGCAAGGCGCCTTCTTCACAAGGCAGCAGGAAAGAGAAGTGCCAAGCAAAGGGGAAAGAGCCCTTATAAAACTCACTATCACGAGAACAGCATGGGGAAACCGCCCCATGATTCAATTACCTCTACCTGGTCTCTCACTTGACACTTGGGGATTATGGGGATAAAAATCAAGATGAGATTTGGGTGGGGACACAAAGCCTAAATGTATCACACACTATGGAAGCATAGAGGAGATTAGTTTTGCTTTTTAAATATTCAAATAATACTTCAAAACTATTTAATCCATTTCATTGGTGGCTCATCTTTTCACCAGTTTCCAGTCCTCATCTGCAGGCTCTCATATATGTAGTCAGGCCTTTATACTTGTTTCCAATCAGTTAAACAAACATACATTTTCCTTGCTTGTACAGTATAATAGAACTAGAGGCTCTGGGGAACTCAGAATTACGTAATACATAATACCTGCCTTCAAGAAATCTGCACGCCAATTGAGGTGTGCAAGCTAATAGAACATTTTATTTTTTACTATTTATATTTAAATATAGGCTGGGCATATTGGCTCATGCCTGTAATCCCAGCACTTTGAGAGGCCAAGGCAGGAGGATTGCTTGAGGCTGGGAGTTTGAGACCAGCCTGGGCAACATTTTGTGAGACTCTGTCTCTACAAAAAAATATATAAAAACTAGCCAGGTGTGGTGGCATCCACCTATATTCCTAGCTACTTGGGAAGCTGAGGCAGGAGGAATGCATGAGTCCAGGTTACAGTGAGCTGTGATCACACCACTATACTCCAGCCTGGACAACAGAGTGAGATTCTGTCCCTAATAAAATAAAATAAATAAAAATAAATACCCTTTTACTTCTTAAAGGGAAAACTAATTAGGCTGTATAATCCGCATAATAATTCTGTGACATTTCCCAGACAGCAAAGACTTTGGGTGGGGAGGGTCAGAAGAAAAAGAAGGGAGACCAATACATTGTAATGTTAATTTCTAGGTGTGGAAATTACCTAGAAAATGCCTAGATCTATTTTTTTTTTTTTTATATTTATGCTGTTTGGTGTTCTCTGAGCTTCCTAGTCTAAGGTTTAGTGTCTCTCATTCATTTTGGAAAATTCTCAGCCATCATTACTGCAAGTATTTCTTCTGTTGATTTCTTTCTTTCTTCCCCTTCTGTTATTTCCATTACAAGTATGTTACCCTTTAGTAATCGGCCCACAGTTCTTGGACATTCTGTTCAGATTTTTTTCTTTCTACTGGCATATCTTCAGGCTCACAGGTTCTTTGTCCATGTCACATCTTTTGATGAGCCCATCAAAAGCATTCTTTATTTCTGTTACAGTGTTTTTGACTTCTAGTATTTCCTTTTATTGTTTCCTAGGGTTTCTATCTGTTTACATTACCCATTTGCTCTCACATGGCATTCTTTTTTTCTCAATTAGAGTTCTTAGCATATTAATTATAGTTATTTTAGATTTCTAGTCTGATAATTTCAAAATCTCTGCTATATCTGAGTCTGGTTCTGATGCTTTGTCTATTCAGACTGTACTTTTTGCTTCTCAATATTTCTTGTAATTTTTTGTTGAAAGTCAAGTATGGTGTATTGGGTAAAAGGAACTGAGGTAGATAGGCCCTCACTGTGTGGTTTTATGTTTTTCTGGCTAGGAGTTAAGCTGTGCTTATTGTTTGCTATAGCTGCGGTGTCAGTGTCTAAAATGTACTATTAATGTGTTCTTGCATTGTGTAAAGTAAGATTTTTTTTTTTTTCCTGGAAACGGAGTCTCGCTGCATAGCCCAGGCTGGAGTGCAATGGCCGATCTCAGCTCACTGCAACCTCTGCCTCCCAGGTTCAAGAGATTCTCCTGCCTCAGCCTCCCGAATAGCTGGGACTGCAGGCGCCCGCCACCACCCCGGCTAATTTTTCGTATTTTTAGTAGAGACGGGATTTCACCATGTTAGCCAGGATGGTCTTGATCTCCTGACCTCGTGATCTACCCACCTCGGCCTCCCAAAGTGCTGGGATTACAGGTGTGAGCCACTGCACCCAGCCCGGTAAAGGAAGATTTATAAAGAAAAGAGGTTTAATTGGCTCATAGTTCTGCAGGCTATATAAGAAGTGTAGTGCCAGCATCCCTTTCTGGTGAGGGCCTCAGGAAGCTTACAACCATGGCAGAAGGTGAATAGGGGAGCCAGTTCATAACATGGTGACAGCAGGAGTAGGGTTGGGGTTGGGTAGGGGGTGCCACTTTCTTTTTTTTTTTTTTGAGACCGAGTCTCACTCTGCCCAGGCGTGATCTCGGCTCACTGCAACCTCTGCTTCCCGGGTCCCGGTTCAAGCAATTCTCCTGCCTCAGCCTCCTGAGTAGCTGGGATTAGAGGCGTGCACCACCATGCCCAGCTAATTTTTGTATTTTTAGTAGAGACGGGATTTCACCATGTTGTTCAGGCTGGTCGTGATCCGCCCTCCTCGTGATCCGCCCTCCTTGGCCCAAAGTGCTAGGATTACAGGCGTGAGCCACTGCGACCAGCTACCACACTCTTAACCAGATCTCACATGAACTCAGAGTGAGAACTTACTCATTGTCATGAGGAAAGCACCAAGCCATTCATGAGGGATCCGCCCCCATGACCCAAACACTTTCCACCAAGGCCCCACCTCTAACACTGAGGATTATATTTCAACATGAAATTTGGAGGGGACAAGCATCCAAGCCATATCAAATGTCCTCTAGAGTCCTCCTTTTAGCCTCGCCTGTTGTCTTTGGGTTTCCCTAGAGACTCCTTTTTAAGTAGGGTCTGAAGCTTACAGATCTTTTAGCTGTGATTCTCAGTGAGTATAAAGGACCCTAACTGATGTGGTGGTAAAGCACAGGAGCAGAGGAAGTGTTCCATAATTTTATTATTGGCTTTCAGTCTTTTAGTGAGCCTGGCTCCCTGGGCTGTGAACTTCACAAGTGCTTCTCATCTTCTCCTCCTCCCGACACTGCCATCAAGTTAGATAGGAAGGCCAGTAGGGGCTGGGGTTATGTATTTCTCTTCCTCCATGTGGAATGCTGGAGGAGGCTGGAGTTGGGTATTTTACTTCCCCCAGCTCAGCTAAACCCGGGTAAAATAGTTTGCCTTAAGGGCAGGCGTTGGTTAAGCAGAACAAAGTGCTCTGAGCATATTTCAAATGATTGCTTTCCCCTCTTTCCACAGGAAGCTTGAGAGCATTTTTCCCTGATCTTTATCCTGAGAACCTAGTGGGACTCCTGGAGGTAAAACTCAGGAATGGGTGTGTGTGGGGGGGAGGCAAGACTAGGGCCCCAGGAATTTTATTGTTGCTCTTTTTAATATCTCAAGCTAGTCCACAAGCTTAGTCTCCAGCGCTTAATGAATTACCCTTTAAGTGTCCCTACTAGGCTTCAGCCACACTTCTGTTCCTGACAATCTGTGATTGTCTATATTCAGTCTGTTTCTCCAGTGTTTGGGGCAGTGGTTTGTCCTGTGACCTCCACTCTCTGATGGAACTAAGAAGAATGGTTGGTTTTCAGTTTGTTCAGCTTTTTTTCTTGTGAGAGTGGAACTGACAACTTCCAAGCTCTTTACATGTCACATTGGAAACTGGAAGTCCACTTCAGTCTCATACATAGAAATAATTGATGACTATTAGAATCTGAACATCTATCAGCTGAAGTCACGCTGGTACTCAGTGATAGAATGACATACTGTTTTATGCTCAAATCTGGTTCTTAAACCTCCTAGGTGTTAGGTTATTTTAGTTGAATTACTGAACCCATATGAGCTCATATATCCTCTTCTATAAAATGAGAGTAATACAAATTCTTCCTAAAACATAAGAAGAGAGTAAAATAAGAACATATAACAAAAAATTTAGGGGAAAATGTGTGACAAAAATTTAGCAAAAGAGGAGGCAATTTCTATGGTTCTTTACCTTACATTATAAACTATAAAAGTAAGCATTTCAAATGAGTCATACACTATTTAACCCAAGACTTTTTTGAGACAGGGTCTTGTTCTGTTGCCCAGGCTGGAGTGAAGTGGCACCATCTTGATCTTGGCTCACTGCAACCTCCACTTCCTGGATTCAAGCAATCATGCCTCAGCCTCCCAAATAGCTGGGATTACAGGCATGTGACACGACACCCAGCTAATTTTTTTGTATTTTTAGTAGAGACGGATTTCACCATGTTGGCCAGGCTGGTCTCAAACTCCTGGCCTCAAGTGATCCACTGGCCTCGGCCTCCCAAAGTGCTGGGATTATAGGCATGAGTTACTGCACCAGCCTTAACCCAAAACATTTTCAACCCACTATATTAATTAGTAAAAGATTATGAAAAGATTTCTTAATTGGGTAATTGCTTTAGAATAAAGACAGTTTCAATCTGAAGTGACATCACCTAGTGACAAGCAATTATAAAGCTTTAGTATAAAAAACTCTCCTAATAGATACCATAATATGCATCTGTCAAAATAAGCATTTTATAAAATGGAAATAGATTCCATACTAATTCTCAGATATTACATAAAAGCCTGAGAATTTTAGTCATATAATAATATTTTATAATTTTAAAACAATCATTGAGGTATAATTACATATCATATTTACATATCATGAAATTGTTGTATAATTCAATGGCTTTAGTACATTTACCGAGATGTGTAACCATCACCATAATCCAGTTTTAGAAGGTTTGCATCATCCTAAAAGGATTGTTAATTCCCATTTCATTTATGCTCCCATGCCAGCCCTAGACAACCACTAGTCTACTTTCTAGAGTTCAGTGGCACCATTATAGCTCACTGCATTCTTGAATTCCTGGACCCAAACCGTCCTCCTGCCTCAGCCTCCCAAATAGCTGGGACTACAGGCATGTGGTACCATGCCCAGCTAATTTTTAAATTTATTGTAGAGACAGGGTCTCGCTATGTTGTTCAGCCTGCTCTCAAATTCCTGGGCTCCAGCGATCCTCTTGCCTTGATCTCCCAAAGTGCTGGGATTACAGGTGTAAACCACTGTACCCATCCCACTAATCTTCTTTCTGACTTTGGACATTTCATATAAATAGAATTATATAATATGTGGCCATTTGTGACTGGTGTCTTTCACTTACCACAGTGTTTTCAACCTTCATCCATTTTGTAACATGTATCAGTATTTTATTCCTTTATATCACTGAATAACAATATCCATTGAACAGATACAGTATATTTTATTTATCCATTCACCAGTTGATGGACATTTGGATCATTTCCACTTTTTGGCTATTATGAATAATGCTGCTATAAAAAATGCTTATACATACTTTGTCCAAATTTTTGTGTAGATATGTGTATAGTATATATATGTAGTATATATGTTTTTATTTCTCTTGGGGATAAACCTAAGAGTAGAATTTCTGGGTCATATGGTAAATTTATATTTAAAACTTTTTTTTTTTTTTGAGACTGAGTCTCGCTCTGTCGCCCAGGCTGGAGTGCAGTGGCGCGATCGCAGCTCACTGCAAGCTCTGCCTCCAGGGTTCATGCCATTCTCCTGCCTCAGCCTCCCAAGTAGCTGGGACTACAGGGGCCCACCACCACGTCCGGCTAATTTTTTCTACTTTTTTTTTTAGTAGAGATGGGGTTTCAACGTCTTAGCCAGGATGGTCTCGATCTCGTGACCTTGTGATCTGCCCACCTCCGCCTCCCAAAGTGCTGGGATTACAGGCGTGAGCAACCATGCCCGGCATATATTTCAAACTTTTAAAAAGATCCAACTGTTTTCCAAAGTAGCAGTTTGGAAATGGTACCATTTACCATTCTCACCAATAATATTTGAGAGTTTCTGTGTCACAGCATCCTTGCTAACATTTGTTATTGTCTGTCTGATTATAGCCATCCCAGTGGGTGTGAAATCGTGTCTCATAATGTTTTAATTTGCTTTCCCCTAATGACTAGTGATGCCAGATTCATGATACTTATTAGTATTTCAAAAATGGTATATTAGCCATTTTTACACTTTCTTTGGCAAAATGTCTATTCAAATCTTTTGCTAGTCACGTAATATTTTAAGGGACCAAAATTAAAGAATTACTGATAAATTATTTTGATTGAATTTGATATTTTATGCAAGAATCATGCATATATACTTAATATAGTTGGTGCAATTAATCATTTTTAAACTTATAACATTAAATATAAACAACACAATGGAATAACAATATTGACCTATTGAGGTCTTCGAGGCAGGGAGGATCTTATCTCATTTTAGTGTTCCCTGCGTGTGACATTGAACCTAGCATTGTGCCTAGAACATTTTGAGTGTTCAGTGGATGATTTACACTCAGTTTTGGATATCCAGTCTGTGTGAAATTATTTTCTCCTTAGGACTTTGCCAGTGGTTTTGTTGGGCTGCCTCTTTGGCTCTGGGACACATGGACATAGAATATAGCAGTTAAGGGTGTAAGCTATAGATTCAGATTGCCTTGGCTTCACTGCTTTCAGTGTGCACTTAGGAAAGTTACTTAGCCTGTTTATTAGGCCCCGGGTTCCTCACCTATTAACTGTACTTGCTGCCTAGAGTTGTAGTGGGAGGTAGATGAGACGATCCATGCAGAGCTCTTCACACACTGCCTGATCACAATAAGTGCTCAGTAAGCATGAGCTATTATCATTGAAGTTGTTAAGAGTCTGAACAGTGAGACTTCAGCTTTAAGTCTGATTAACAAAGAGGCAGTTTAGCTGCATTTTCTCCCCTCAATTTTTCCTTAAAATATTTATATATATAGGCTTTCTTTTGAAACCAATATATATAACATTACAAATGTTCAAAAGATATGTGAAGATTTTAAAGAAATTGGCAAGTACATACAATATGGTAACTTCATTACTAATCCTTCAATTTTAACAAGTATTTCTTGACCACAATCTGGCATCATTCATCCCCTGACTTATGTAGAACATTTTTTTCTGACTCACCTTAGATCTTTATCTTGAAGTCAGTCAGTCCTTCAAAAGAGCTCCTTTAACCTTCATGCTAGTTTGTCATCTAGAGTTCCAACTTAGGGCTTTCCTCCTTATAACATTAATAGCTATCTTTTAATAAGTGCCATGTGGCATGTGCTCTAATACAACTCATCTCTAATTATCACAACAATCTAAGAAAGTAGGTATTATTGGTCCCATTTTAGACATGAGGACGTTGAGACACACTGTGGCTATGTAATTTTCCCAAGTCACACACCTGGTAAATGAAAAGCCTATATTTAATATAATATCTATGTAACTCTTGAGGGCTGTATTCTCTTGCAGAAAAGATGTTTGAAGCTTTTGTTTACAAAAGCAAGCTGTAAATAAATTTCTAGTTAGGGATAAAAAAATCATTGAGCTACCTGTAACAGTGAGTTTGAGTTGCTGGGACTCAATTAGAAAAATTAGTGATATTATTCACATAAGTTTCTCTCCTCTTCCCTCCCATTTTTCTACTCCCCTGACCCCAGTTTGTTTCCTCCTCTCTTCATCTGTATTTCTACTAATGAATAGTGTCAAGATGGAAGCAGAAATTGAGGAAGATCAGCATTGGAGGCAGAGAGAATTGCCCATCTCCCAAAGTGGCTTCTTTTTCTCTTCCCCCTTTCCCTTTTTTGTCTTCCTGTTTCTCTCTTCTTTCTCATTTCTTTCTTTTCTTTCCTTTTTTTTTTTTTTTTTTTTTTTTTTTTGAGATGGAGTCTCGCTCTGTCACCCAGGCTGGAGTGTAGTGGCACGATCTTGGCTCACTGCAACCTCCACCTCCTGAGTTCAAGCGATTCTCCTGCCTCAGCCTACTGAGTAGCTGAGATTACAGGCGTGCACCACCACGCCCAGCTAATTTTTGTATTTTTAGTAGAGACGGGGTTTCACCATGTTGGTCAGGGTAGTCTTGAACTCCTGACCTCATGATCTGCCCACCTTGGCCTCCCAAAGTGCTGGGATTACAGGCGTGAGCCACCTTCTCTCTCATTTCTATCTCTCCCTGTTTCTTTCTTTCACTCTCCAAAGAAAGAAAGAAAGAAGAGAGGGAGGTAGGGAGGCAAGTGGGGAAAGAGAGAAAGGAAGAGAGGAAAGGAAGGAAGGAGGGAGGGAGGGAGGAAAGGAGGGAAGGAAGGAAGGAGGGAGGGAAGTAAGGAAGGAAGGAAGGAAGGAAGGAAAGAAGGAGGGAGGGAGATTGAATATAATACATTCTTATTTTTAAAATGCCTCCAGCCATATTGTTTGCACTGTACCTTGAAATTCATTTTCTTTAGAAAGATGAATTCATTTTCTTTAGAAAGGAAGGAAGGAAGGAAAGAAAGGAGGGAGGGAGGGAAGAAAGGAAGGAAAGAAGGAGGGAGGGAGGGAAGGAAAGAAGGAAAGGAGGGAGGGAAGGAAGGAAAGAAGGAGGGAGGGAAGGAAGGAAGGAAAAAAGGAAGGAAGGAAAGGAGGAGGGAGGGAAGGAAGGAGGGAGGGAGGGAAGGAAGGAAAGAAGGAAGGAAGGAAAGAAGGAGGGAATGAGGGAAGGAAGGAAGGAAGGAGGGAATGAGGGAAGGAAGGAAGGAAGGAAGGAGGGGAGACAGAGGGAGGAAGGGAAATTAGAGAGGCGTGAGGGAAGGTGGAGAAAAGAGAGGAGAACCATTGGCAGTGGCTGGATCCTTTATGACAAGTTCGGGTTTTCTTTCCTGTCTAACTTCTTCCTTCCTTTCCTGCCTTTTTCCCACCACAAATATTGCCTCTAGTGATAGAACACCTCTAGTTCCAGTAAATGGTAACTGAGAAACGAAGTGGTAATTTACTTGTCAACTGGTATTTGCCTGTTCCTTAAATGATCTAGATAAATGGGCTTAAATCCCTATTCACACCTTGTGCAAAATCTGATGCCCTCCCCAAGACTTCTCCAAATTCCTGAAAGTTTACAGTCTTGTGATCACCTCTAGTTCTAATTCCCTGACTCCAATAAATTTGGGTTCTTCCCATTGTCTTATGTATTTTTTTATTTCAGTCTCTCTGCATCTATTTACACTTAGAACCCAGCCGTTTTCCTTGATTTCTATTATTGAAAGACACCATCTTCACAAAGACTCTCTGTGTGGTGAGCTTTACCGAAGGTAAAGAGAAATGAAGAATTACAGTGCTGCAAAACAAACAACGTAAATTGAATATAATACGTTCCTATTTTTAAAATGCCTCCAGCCATATTGTTTGCACTGTACCTTGAAATTCATTTTCTTTAGGAAGATGAGTTGCTGAGTAGATAGAGGTGGATAGATGTACAGATGTATGATAAAGCAAGTATAATAAAATATTAATGTAGAATCTAGGTGGTAAGTATATGAGTGTTTGCTGTTTAAAAACAACTTTCAGCTTTGCTATTTATTGGAAATTTTTCGTAATAAGATATTGAGAAAAACAAACAACAAAACAAAAAAATTTCTTCAGCATTTCTGTCAAGTCGTTCAGCCATCCATCCTACCCTCTCTCTTAAATTCTGGATTATCTTCCAGTGGGTAAACCCTGCCAAAATTTCTGTTCATTTCTAATGGAAAGCATTTTATCATTCTTTGTTATCTTCTACTAACCACAATCTCATTGCATTCTCACCCAAGCTGCTTATGATCTCCTCCTAAACAAAGACTTCCTTAAGAATTCTTTAAGAACAATAACATCTTACACATATTTATATACTCTTTAATCCATTTAACAATGCCTTGTTCATAGGAGATACAAATATACATGTGAGGCTATATTGTACAGTAGAATTAAGGAGGAGATATGAAGCCAAAAGAAGTTGGTTTAAGTCCTGGCTCTGTCACTAACTCTGACTTTGAACTAGTTGTATAACTTCTTTGAGTCCATTTCTAAGTCTTCTAATCCAAAAAAGAGGTATGATTTTTAAACAATGCGTACCTCACAGGGCTGCCATGAGAATTAAATTGGATAATGCAGGCTTTCAAAACTGCAACCAGTAATTGAATAATTGGATAATGAACAGAAGGCAAAGATTGTTTATGTGATTGGACTGTGTGACTGACTGTTGGGGCCCCTGCCTTTCTGGCTAATGAACAACAGGCATACAAATGCCAGTACATCTTCCTAATGTAGACGTTCAACCTCTTCCAATGGCCTCTCTTCTCCTACCCCAGCTGCAGCCTTAGTGGCAGTTCAGATGGTTCTAGAACTGATACTTTCTGTGGTGCTCATTTGGCACAAACAAAACTCATGTATCCTTGTCAACCACTCAGTGGTAATGTTGAGACCCAAACTCTCTTTGTCTTCAGCTTTCGCTCCTAGTGTCTTGGGTTCTAGAGTTACTACTAGGATATCAGGAAACGTCCCATTCGACATCGTATTATACTGTGAGTAATGGATTAGATAATTCAAGGAAAGTGTTGGTTAATTATGCTCTTAGATGCATAATGGTATTTCACTGTGAATATTCATCTATCTCTCCACAAATTTTCTTTGTCCATGTTTGTTTGCCACTTCACTTTCTAAAAATAATTTAAGTATTTCTTACCTCTTTTAACTTATCTACTTCTTTAGCTGAAGCTAGTATAAATGGGAATTTTAAAACAATGATTCCCTTAGCAACTGGCAAATTTTGCAAATTTCCTCATGCTGTTCAGAGTTGCAAAAATCATATACCATAAGTAGCATTATGAAAGATTAATTAATATCAGGATGTCTTCCAAAGCAAGCCATTTGAAATACCATTAAAACAGAAGAATACAAATTATTTTAAAGAGCCCTGAAATGTTTTCATCCAAATTGGGTAAATACATATTAATTTTATTTATCTCTCAACAAATATTTTAGGAATTTTTATAGAGCTTCCTATAACATGCCAAAAGATAATAATCAGTTATATAAAGCATTAACAAAATTTTGGCTATGATAATCAATACTTAAATATCAGCTGGGCACGGTGGCTCACACCTGTAATCCCAGCACTTTGGGAGGCTGAGGCAGGAGGATTGCTTGAGGCCGGGAGTTCAAGACCGGCCTGAGCTACATAGAGAGCCTCTGTTTCTACAAAAAATAAAACAAAAAAATTAGCCGGGCATGGTGACATGCTCCTGTGGTCCCAGCAACTTTGGAGGCTGAGGTAGGAGGATTGTTTGAACCTGAGAAATCAAGGCTACAGTGAGCCATTCATCATGCCACTACATTCCAGCCTGAGCTACAGAGCAAGACTCTGTCTCAACAGCTCCCACTCCCCTATCCCGCAAACAAACACACTGAAATATCTATTTAATAGTCCCTTTTTGGAAAAACATAAAAGTATATTTTAAAAAAATAACTTTATCACATATATAGCAAAAACATTTTGGCAGATCTATGAGGTTTAAAAAAGTAATCCATACTCAATGGACATTTTTCTTCTTAAGGTTATAAAACACAAGGATATGATTACAACAACCTTATAATAAAGATCCAAGTTCATTACATTAAGTTTGTTATTGACACAAAAAATAGGATTTAAGGATTTATTTTATTTATCTTTAGCAGTTGGCCATGGGTTTAAGGTCTCTTCTTCCATACTTAATTGTTTGAGTTTCTTTTTTTTTTTTTTTTTTTTTGAGACGGAGTTTTGCTCTTGTTGCCCAGGCTGGAGTGCAGTGGTGCGATCTCGGCTCACTGCAAACTCCGCCTCCCAGGTTCAAGCAATTCTCCTGCCTCAGCCTCCCAAGTAGCTGGGATTACAGGCATGAGCCACCATGCCCAGCTAATTTTGTATTTTTAGTAGAGACCGGGTTTCTCCATGTTGGTCAGGCTGGTCTCGAACTCCTGACTTCAGGTGATCCGCCCGCCTCAGCATCTCAAAGTGCTGGGATTACAGGCGTGAGCCACTGCGCCTGGCCTGACTTTCCTTTTAATTAACATAGATGTGTTTAATCTAGCTGACCAATGCTGTAGATGTAGTCTATTCAAGGAACTAGACCACCTCTGCCACTTTTGATCATATCTTCATTTACTTGTATTCTAACTAGTCTTTATTGAATGCCCATTATGTGTGAGTCACTGTTCCAGGTACCAGGGATTCAATAGTAAACAAAAAAAACAAGCTCTCATGGAGCTGACATTCTAACCTATGTGTGACTTGGGGGAAGAGGGAAGACAGAATATAAACAAACAAACATGTAATTATATATCAAATGGTAAACTATCAGAGAAATGGAGAAAAACAAAGCAGGGGAAGAATAGGGAGCCAGTTTGGGCTGGATGGTGTGGGGAGAGAAAATCGCTATCTCCCATACCTGATCTGGGGAAACTCACTGAGGTGACATTTAAAAAGATGAGGGAGTAGGCCGGGCGCAGTGGCTCATGCCTGTAATCCCATCACTTTGGGAGGCCAAGGTGGGTGGATCACCTGAGGTCAGAAGTTCGAGACCACCCTGACCAATATGGTGAAACCGTACCTCTACTAAAAATACAAAAATTAGCCGGGTGCGGTGGCGTGTGCCTGTAGTCCCAGTTACTAGGGAGGCTGAGACAGGTGAATTGCTTGGAACCAGGTGGCAGAGGTTGCAGTGAGCTGAGATTGTGCCACTGCACTCCAGCCTGGATGACAGAGCAAGACTCTGTCTCAAAAAAAAAAAAAAAGAAAAAGAAAAAAGAAAAAAAAAAGGAAAAAAAAGAAAAAAGAAAAAAAAGTATTCTAGGCATAAGAATCTGCAAGTGCAAAGGACCCACCTTCTTGAAACTCTCTCCTGCTCTAGGATGTCTCCATTCCCCATGGCCCTGCCTCTTCACTACTTCCTCCTCTGTGTTCTTCAATGGTGCTTCTTCTCCTCCCCATTTATTGAAACGGCCAATGTGAAAACAGCTTTCTGCACCTTTCCCTTTAACAACCCATCCATTCTTTTTGATAGTGTTGTTGTTGATTAACATGTATTAATCGATTCTTTAAAATATCTATGCAATTGAACAAAATTTACAGTTCTCAAGGTGCCTGTCTGCAGCATATTAGACATCAACAGACAGACCTGATTATTACTAGGAAATAGACCAGAGGCCAAACTTCACAATTTACCAAAAAAGTATATTAGATTTTATTTTAGCCAGAGGAAGAGTCTCAACATTGCAGAATCAGAACATCCCATTTTTAAAGATTAGATTTCAATGCTCCCTTCATGAATGTATTTCTGGAAAGGCAGTGATATAGCCATACGGTCAGATAGGCTATGAGTTATAACTATACGAACCAGCAAACTTGGAAAATATTTCAAAATGTCATCTGATTAACCCTCTTGCCTTTTGGCAGATCATTGTTGAAACTTATCCCGGTTGCTGGAAAATTTTTCATTGAGAGGAGTTCTACAGTTTCTCTTCACAGTCTGCTTTGATGAAAGCATTAACTCATGTAAATAACCCTTTTTGTTCATGTTCTTACCAGTATTTAGAATGTTTTCCTTTTCATCCATGCAAATTCTGCAATGATTTAATAACTTGTTAATTCTCCATAAAATCTTATTTGCCCATAGAGGACACTGCAATTTTTCCACCTGTAAGCCAATATCTACAACATTTATCTGGCAATTAAGTGTGAACTATTATTCCTCTTATAAAGTTACATACATATGTATTATTTAATACTTCCGGCAGCAAATATCATCTCTTCATTTAGACCATCACTACCATAAGGGCAAGAGTTGGAGCTAAACAATTTTGTGCCTTGACAGAGTGCTTCTTGTATACAATCATAATTTGATAAATCTTTGTTCAGTAGTGCACTACAGCTAGCTCATATCAGCTACTAAAGCCAGTTGTGCACATCTCCTTCCAACCCATTGTTTGGTGACATCATGCTGGTAGCTTAAAAATCAACTATGGTAGGCTGGGCGCAGTGGCTTATGCCTGTAATCCCAGCACTTTGGGAGGCCGAGGCAGGGGGATCACCTGAGGTCAGGAGTTCAAGACCAGCCTGGCCAATATGGTGAAACCCCGTCTCTACTGAAAATACAAAAATTAGCCGGGCGGTGGTGGGCGCCTGTAATCTCAGCTACTTGGGAGGCTAAGGCAGGAGAATCACTTGAACCCAGGAGGCAGAGGTTGCAGTGAGCTGAGACTGTGCCACTGCACTCCAGCCTGGCCAACAGAAGTGAAAATCCGTCTCAAAAAAAAAAATCAACTATGATGGGAATATTTAGACCATAGAAATTGGCAAGTGCTATAGATCGGTAGAATGGGTTCACATCTAGCATTACGATTTACTACTTGTGTGACATTTGATGAGATACCACCCTGTGCCTCTCACTTTCTTCATCTGAAAATAGGGATATTATATTACCTATTTCATACAGTTGTTGTCAGGAGAATAAGAGTTTATATATGTAAACCACTTAGAAAATTCGTTGGTACATAATATATATTCAACAACTGTTAGCTTAATTTTTATTAAACAATCTCTCTACCTATTTCACAAATTCTCGACTGCTCTGTAAACATTTTGAGGAAGTCTATGATATGATCATAATCTATGCAGCATTATTTTCCACGACTCCCCAGTAAACACCCTCTGTTGTCTCAACAGACTCCTCTTCACCTACCCCTATGATAAGGGAACTTAACCATAGCATAGGAATCCCTCTGTCTGGACGACTACAGTAGAAATTATCATGGGGAGGCTGGAACTAAAGTAGTAAGTGGTGTGTTCTGGTATCCTGACTTCTCAGGTAAAGGTTGGGCCCATTTTTTGTAGAATCAATGGAAGAATAAGACTCTTAGCATTATATTTAATATTCTTTTTATAGTTGTTTTTGGAAGAGTCTCTCACTCTGTCACCCAGGCTGGGGTGCAATGGTACAATCTTGGCTCACTGCAACCTCTGCCTCCCAGGTTCAAGCGATTCTTGTGCCTCAGCCTCCCAAGTAGCTGGGACTACAGGCACGCCTGGCTAATTTTTGTATTTTTTGGTAGAGATGGGGTTTTGCCATGTTGGCCAGGTTGGTCTCAAATTCCTGGCCTCAAGTGATCCGCCCGCCTTGGCCCCCCAAAGTGCTGGGGTTAGCATTACATTTAGTTTTATTGCATGTTAAATAGGCTTTCCAGGGCCAGATAAGAATTTGACCAATTTTTATATTATTTTGTGGGAAAGGATGTATTTGTTCCCAATCCCCGAAAATACTAAAAATAATGACATGAATTTTCCAAACCAATCTCCAGCCCAACCCAGTACTAGGAAATATATGTGCTTTAATGTCATAGACTTTGATATTCAGAACCATAGAGCTTTTAAAAATTGCTTTATTAAATACTGAGTAGTATCAAAATATAATATTGTTGGGTATAAAAAATAGCAATACAATGAATACTTGTGTAGCTACCACCCCACTTATAAAATAAAACATTATCCTTACCTGTAAAACCCTGATCTGATCTCTGAACCAATTCAGAGGTAAACACAATCTTGAATTTGGGGGTTATAATTCCCTCAAGTTTTATTTACTATTAATATTTTTTGAGATGGGGTCTCACTCTGGAGTGCAGTAGTGCAATCTCTGCTCACTGCAACCTCCGCCTCCCGGGCTCAAGCGATCCTCCCACCTCAGCTTCCCAAGTAGCTGGCACCACAGGCATGTACCACCAGGCTGGTCTCGAACTCCTGAGCTCAGGTGATCCACCTGCCTCGGTCTCCCAAACTGCTGGGATGCAGAGATGAGCCACTACTAGCAGCCTCAGATATATGTAATGCAGGGGAAATACCACAGTGATGTGAGACACCTTCATCCATTAAAAAAATACATGAACAAGATCCTCCTCAGTCAGAAATTTTACATTGTTTATTTTTATCCCACTCTTATTCTTCTTCCACAAAATCATTTTTATTGTTGTTTTTGAGATAGGGTCCCCCTCTGTCCACCAGGCTGGAGTGCAGTAGTGTGGTCATAGCTCGCTGCAACCTCTTAAGTCCTGGCCTCAAGAAATTCTCCTATCTCAGCCTCCCCACTAGCTGGGACTACAGGAACATGCCAACCAAGCCCAGCTAATTTTTTTTTTTGACTTTTTGTAGAGACAGAGGTCTCGCTATGTTGCCCAGGCTGGTCTTGAACTCCTGGCCTCAAGCGATTCTCCTGCCATGGCCTCCCAAAATACTGGGATTATAGGCATGAGCCACTGTGTCCAGCCCAAAATAATATTTTAATGGTGTATTTTTTTTTTGCTTTAGAGTCTCAATTAGTCATGCTTCACTATTTTTTCAGCAGAAAAATAAGTACATAAATTGAAATTGCAAGTAAGTAGTTAAGCATCCTAAGTCCATGAGTTTATAACTGTTAAAATAATTCTTCTGGTTTGAGTTATTATAATATTATTATTACCATGGTATAGAATTGATGAAAGAACATAACTACATTATACTTTTTATAAACAATTATTAAACATGAAAGTTAACTGTTTTTTTGGAAATACATCTCTTAAGGATTTGAAAGAAGTGGTGCTTTTGGTGCCTTGATTAATGGAGGCTCTGTGTGGAGGCCAGGAGATTTTTATTTTTATTTTTTATTTTTTTTTGAGACAGAGTCTCGCTCTGTCGCCCAGGCTGGAGTGTAGTGGCATGGAGGCCAGGAGATTTTTTTATGCCCAAAGGCAATGCATAACAGTAAGGGAAGGTGGCCTACTTTTGCAAAGTAGGAAAAGGGAAATATGAAGGGAGAAAATGGGAACTATGGGCAAGTTCCTAGGCATATCACTTTTAGGAAGGAGTATATATGACTTTGAGGATTTGGGAATTGATTCTCTTAAACCTGTGTCTGTGGAAAATTTTCAGGTCTTGCAGGAGTACCTGTACATCTTGTGGAAAACTACCTTGATGCAATGCAGCCCCTAAGAACACTAAAGCAAGCTATCCTAAAAGTCACTGAATCAAATGTCTTTCAGACTAAAATAAGATGCCTGTGTCATGTAATTTAGTGAATTAATTGAAAACAGAAGGATAAGCAAGGGGAGAGGAATGGTGTAGGTTAACCTACACCTAGGCTAGGGTCAAGCAGAATGGAAGGACTGCAGTATTTGAGTTCATACATCTTGTCTCTTCCTCCTGTGTATCAACCTTCCCCTGATGGTGTGGTTACAAGACAGAGTCAAGGTTTGAGCAACAGGACTTGGCAGAAGGATGGTGCCTCAAGTGAACACACTGGCTTTAGTTTAGACCTGGCCACAGCTGTAGCTTGCCAATTACACTGATGAACAGCTATGGAGCTTACTGGGTAAAGGACACATGGGCTAGAATGGGTTTTGTAAATGAGAAGTCAGTTTAAGACCTTATGAATATTGAGTGCCTGATATATGTTTACTGTATGAATATTTGGTGCTCTTGGTCCTACTATTCCTCCCAACTGAAATTAAGCACACATATGCTCAACTTCTTTTATGTCTAACATATCTCACAAGCCACTAGCTTTTATATTTAGTTTCATTCATTTTCCTTATTTTTCTCATTTTTCATAGCATACTGAATATTCTTAAATAAAACAGCAAATATTCATTGCACCTGGTTGGAAGAACACCACCAATATTGGAATGGAGACTTGTCTCTTCCTTTTGAACTCCCTTCCAGGAACAGAGCAACAGGATCACATGTAAACTATATATCTTCTCTGCACATCCTAAAAGAGTGGGTAGACTGAAAGATGGGAAGTACACTGGGAAGCCTTTTTAACTAACTCACTATAAAACCTTCCATTCAGGACAAGTGCAAGATATTGATCTCCTGAGCCCTTAGGATACCCACATGGGCTAAGGTGGCTGGAGCTGTACTCTTTTGCCTCCAAACACAAGCTTCTCATTTCTTTATTCCAGTATGACATACAACGTATTATAATTTTCTATGTATATCTAGGGTAGATACTTAGGTACGGAATTGCTAAGTCATACAGCATATGCAGTTTCAACCTTAATGCCAAACTATTATTTCGAGGTTTTTTCCCCAATTTATATTCCCAACAAGATGTAAGAAAGTTCCCATTGAGCCACAGCCTAATCAATATTTGATAATTTCAGAAAGAATAATAACACTTAATAATATGAAAATTTCCTATTTTAAAAGGATAGAAAATTCAGGTCTAAAGATAATTTAATAGGTTTATTTATTCAGTGATTCATTTTAACAAGCATTGATTGACACTTATTTCACTCTTGGCATTATGCTAAATGCTGAGGATAAAAGATGACTAAGACTAATCCCTGTTCTCAAGGAACTTACACTCTATATGGAATGCATATATGTCAACAGATTATTCAGGTGATGAGTGCAATAATGGAGGTAAATGCAAATTTCTGTAGCACTGATGAAGGAAAGAGAAAAATGAGTCTGAGTTTGGGGCAAGAGATATCAGGAAATGTGTAGGTTGAGGTTTTTCACAAGATATATTTGTTTTCAAATTTGGGTTTTACTTTTTAAACTCTATACTCATAGTTCTGTAGTGATAACTTGGGAAGGCCAGGACATGAAGGGGTTTTGTATGATAGATGATATGGAACCACTTAAAGAGTTTTAGGCAATGCAACAAAATGAACGAAATTGTATTCTAAAAAGAGAATGCCGATGGCAATGTGGAGGATAGACTGGGATTGAGATGGGCATGAATGGAGGCAGGGAGACACGTTAGGAGTCCATTGTAGTTGAAGTTCAAGATGATAAAAGCCTGAACCTAAAGCAGTGACAATGGATATGGAAAGAAAATAGATATGAATAATATTCAAGAAGTAGCATTAATAGAATCAGGTGATAAACTAGAAGTAGAAAATAATGGGAAAAGATTAGTCTATCATGATACCTAAGTTTCTACCTAAGGGGATATATTCATTCATTCATTCATCAACTAATATATATTGATCACATGCTACATGCCAGAACTTATGCTGACTGTGGGGGCTATCTAGGGATAACATGTTAACATGGCTCCAGGGGACACTATTCACGTGGTATATACATGGAATATGGTAGGGATGGTGTTTCCAGACTTCTTCAATCGTGTGGTTCCAGATTTTCTGTGGATAGGACATAGTTCCTACGGTTAAGGAGCACACAGTTCTGTGTACAGTTGTACTGTTAACCAAGACGGAAAAAAAATAAGGACTGTGCACCGAGCCTTGGGAACCTACATGTTGCCCCTTGTCTTTCTTTTCACCTGAAACAATTAGTTTGGCATATTGGACATGCTGACCTTGAAGGGTTTATGGAATGTTTAGATGGAAATTTCTATGAAACCACTGGACATGTTAGTCTAGAGCCCTTGGTTAAGGGTTTATAGTGAGTTAGTTAAAAAGGCTTCCCAGTGCACTTCCCACTTTTCAGTCTACCCAATCTTTTAGGATGTGCAGAGAAGAAGTGTAGTTTACATGTGGTCCTGTTGCTCTGTTCCTGGAAGGGAGTTCAAAGGGAAGAGACCAAGTCTCCACTCCAATATAAACCTTCTGAAAGTTTTTTTCTTTCAATGGCTCCAAATTGCACACTCTACAATTGAGAAGTTCAGAAAATTGAGTAACTCATATTAAAATTTTCAAGACCGCAAAGGTTTTTCACATAATAGAACAATTTTAAGGGTGAAGTAAATGAATTCAAACTAATTTATTTTTCTTTTCATATATGTCTAATAAAAATGACTGACGGATTGTTTGGACTTTAACGTGTTTAGATGTGAGTCTCCCCCCTTTTATTCAGTGACAAGTGCAAAGCAACTTGCCAACAATTTTTTTTTCAATTTTGTAATTTTAACACTGACAATAAGAAACATTCTATAGAAAGTTTGACTTTGAACTGGAATATTTTTGCCATATCTCTGCCTAGAGGGAATTTTTATGGTTGAGTTTGTAAATGCTAGCAAAACAAAGTTGAAAATGGAAAAGCTTTCAATTTTCAAGGCTAATGTAAGATGAGTTATGCTTCTTATGCATCATACTTCTGGTAATTCTCTTATTTTTTATTTGTTGCAGTGTAAATTTTATCAGAGAAGCCTTTGAAAAAAAGATATTTATTTTTGTATGAACCAATACCATCAGCATCAGAGAAGCCATAATTTAATTATGAAGGACTATATATTATAATAAGTTATAACACTTCAACCAGTTTTCATGTTTGTAGTTATGGGCACACTATAATAATTTCCTTCAGTAAGGGTAAACACCAGTGAAGCAAGTTAAAAACAGAATAAATAAAAAAACTATATTCAATGAAACTACTAGATGCAACCCACATTTCCAGTAATCCTGGAGAATAGTAAGCATTAAGCTTAAGATCTGGAACATCTCATTCAGTGTGCTTTACTGTAGGATATCTTACTTGAAAATAATAAGAATAATGTCACTCAATAGCATTTTAGACTTGTTGATTATCTATGTACATATAAATCTGGTCTAAATGTTGAGGTAAAAATCCGAATTAAAACTTGCTGAGGCTGGGCACAATGGCTCACACCTGAAATCCCAGCACTTTGAGAGGCCAAGGCCAGAAAATCGCTTGAGGCCAGGAATTTGAGACTAGCCTGGGCTACATGCCCAGTATCTATAAAAAATACAAAAAAAAAAAAAAAAAAATTAGCCGGGCATGGTAGCTCATGCCTGTAGTTCCAGCTACTCGGGAGGCTGAGGTAGGAGGATTACCTGAGACTGACAGTTTGAGGCTACAGTGAGCTATGATCACACCGGTACACTCCAGCCTGGGTGACAGAGAGAGACCCTGTCTCAAAAAATAAAAAATAAAAAACAAAACCCCCCAAAAAAAAGAAGACTTGCTAAGATTCTTTTGTACGTATGAGAAGTAAACTAAGGGTTTTGATTTTGAGGCATGTGAAAAATCCCTACTTCAAAAAGCCAGAGAATCAGTATATCATGGTTAAGACTCAAACCTAGTCATCAAAAACTGTAGAAAGAGGTTTCACTTAGGAAACAGAAATAAATATATTCTCTGGGCAAAGATGTGAATTCAGAGAAAAATAACTGCATTGACAAAGGAAAGAATACTGGCCAAATAACCTTTTTTTAAAAAAACAGTTTTTTTCCTACTTTTTTTTTTTTACTCTGGTAAAAGTTTACCTTCATAGTGGCACTGGTGGGAACTGCCCCTTTTATTGTTATTTATTTACTTATTTCTGAGACGGAGTCTCGCTCTGTCATCCAGGCTGTAGTGCAGTGGCACAATCTCGGCTTACTGCAACCTCCGCCTCCAAGATTCAAGTGATTCTCCTGCCTCAGCCTCCCTGAGTAGCTGGGACTACAGGTGTGTGCCACCACACTCGGCTGATTTTTGTATTTTATTTTAGGTAGAGGCGGGGTTTCACCATGTTGGCCAGGCTGGTTTCAAACTCCTGGCCTCAAGTGATCAGCCCACCTTGGCCTCCCAAAGTGCTGGGATTACAGGCGTGAGCCACTAGGCCTGGCGGGAACTGCCTCTTTTAAACTCTTGTAAAGATTTGATAATGGAATCTATTTTATTTACTAAAGGAGAATCTAATTAATTTAACATCAAAGATACACTTATGGGAATGAAAGAAAATAAGCCCCAAGTGTAATGTGTTTGCAATGTATTTAAATAAAATCAAAGACAATTCTAAAACAGACGGAAACAACAAAACAGGAATGTCTACTTCTTTAAAATTACATAGTAATAAGCAGATAATCCATATTTTTGTTGTTAAAGAGTGATAACCAGGTAAGCACAGGACACACACACACAATCACCCTTACATAGTGAAGGTCAAAATTCTGTTATATCTGCTATCAATACTTCAAGTAGATACAGAAAGTTAAAAGATACATTCTTTTTTTTTTTTTTTTTTTTTTTTTTTGAGACAGCCTGTTGCCCAGGCTGGAGTGCAGTGGAGTGATCTTGGCTCACTGCAACATTTGCCTCCTGGGTTCAAGTGATTCTCCTGCCTCAGCCTCCTGAGTAGCTGGGATTACAGGTACACGCTACCACACCTGGCTAATTTTTGTATTTTTAGTAGAGATGGGTTTTCATCATGTTGGTCAGGCTGGTCTTGAACTTCTGACCTTGTGATCCGCCAGCCTTGGCCTCCCAAAGTACTGGGATTACAGGCATGAGCCACCAGAGCTTGGCCTAAAAGATACATTCTTTTGTGGAAGAATATGCAGTGATTGCAATTTGTACTTATATTTAATAACATATTAAAAAAATAAAGATGCTCGTAATGAAGCAAGGAAGCCTGAAATCACTCGGTAAGTTCTCAATACCCACAGACCTAGGGCTGGGCCAGGATGAGATGAAATGATGGAGGCCCTAGCTAGCCTTAGGGGCAAAACTTAAGGGAGTTCCAAACAAACCCTAGTATTCAAGATATGATTTTAATGGAATATTCTGAAAAATGAAATTGAATACCAATAAATACATGATAAACAAAATATCAAAGTATTAAATAATGAGGGGATCCACTCCCACACCTGCATAACTCTTCTGCTTCATCTTAATGAGGACTCAAGAGGAGTGAAGAGTCATGCCCAGAGAAACTTTCATTCAACTCTCCTTTTTAGATGAAGGAAGGTAATGGGCTGTAATAGCGAGGAAAAGACCAAGATTGTGGCTTCTAGAAGCAACATGAATATTCTCCCTCTTGTAAATGTGCACAAAAGTGGGAATCATGGTACCAAGGCCCTCTTTGGCTTGGCTGCTTGTAGCCAAGCCAACTTCACTTCTCCACTATATTACAATATTCCCTTCTAGACAGAACGGTCCCTTTAATGTTCCAACACATTTTTTTCCCACTTTGATTTAGCTCAGTATTTTCTAAAAATACTTCAAAGACCTTTAAATTCCTTTAGAAGCAATAATTAAATAAGTTTGTAAATGCTGTATTTACAAACTTGTAAGTCCGTCTAGTGGAGATTCAAAATGCATGTAGCATATTAAAATCTGGGATAAAATTGACAATATGAAGTCTGTTTATCTTGTTTAATACAGCGTTTTCCCAATTTTATTTTATCATAGAGTCACAGCACTACCCAGTCTCTGACTTCAACTGCAATAAGGCAGCAATCGTCTAGCCCTGCTCCCTTTCTTTCCTTGGTGGTAGTAGCATTTTGCTTTTCTGATTCTGTAAGGTATCTCTCCACCTTCCCAGATCCTGGCTTTTTTTTTTTTTTTTTTTTTTTTTTTTTTATCAGATCTAGTGATAAGGCAGCTCTGGAATTTTTGCCCAGGATTTTGTTTATGTGTATTTTAGTTTCAGTATGGACATAAGATCATGGGATTTCATGGAAGATGTCAGGACGACTGTGGGAAGAAACACTGACCAATTTTAGCCTGTGCTTTAAAATAGCCATATCTATACTCTCTGTCTACATCTTCTTCTCTTTAAAATATATGTCCTCTAATTATAGGCTTATAATTAGGAAGAGATAAATCATTTAATAGATGTGATATGGTGTTGGAAATCCTCATCTTATAATTACCCCAGTGGAGTGATCCAAAATGGAAACCACTATGAATAGGCATGTCTTGGGGATCAGAAAATGGAAACCTTAGCATATCAGTCTAAGTCCAATGAGGACAGAGAAACCATATAGTAATTTGAATAAGAAAAGTTTAATGTGAAGAATTATTGACTATAACAGAGGATTGGAGAAACAAGGAATTGGCTAGGAAGAACTAAAAATAACTCTAAAGAATACAGGAATAACAGCATCCACTACCCTCAGGGCTGAAATACAGCAACAAAGTAAGAGTCCTCCCCTCTTCTCAACCAAGGCTGAATCCAGACCCTGCACAGCCTTGGCTCCCTGGGTGGCAGAGAAGTTGTGCTAGTAGAGCTTGCTGCAGATCTGCTCTCTAGGGTGCTGGGGAAGGCTGTTCACACGGAGTTGCCTCACCAGAGCCACACTGCTACAAACAGCCCAGGAGGGGAGGGTGCTGGGGGAAACTTCTGGCTACCGGTGCTTCAGGAGCCTGGCACTGGAAAAGCTAGCTTTATTGCAGCAGCTGGGCTTTGGAGAAGATGTGGGTATGTATGCACTTCAGGAGCCAGGAGCTGGGAAATCTATATGTCCTGCACTGCAGAAACTGCTGTGTGAGCACAAGTTAACCAGGAAGCAAAACCCTTTCCTCCTGCAATGTCTTTCTAACGTCCCCACCGACAAAACATGATTGCCAACTGATAAAGAGAAATATTTAATGGATCCGGATTCATTTTCACAGAGCAGGTAAAAAAAGGTGAATTTGGAGCTGCAAGACAATAAACTGATAACTGGCACACCTAGGGAAGAAAAATGATCTGGAAGAAATATTGTCACTAATAGGAATATGAGTCAGGAAAAGATCCTGCCAATAACGAAGATAATTCAGGAGAATCATCTAATGTCAGAAAAGATGAGTCATTGCTTTTAGAAATTGATTATGACTAGATGGGAAGAAGAAATTGTTTTCTCTGAGAAAAGTCTAGTTTAGAAAAGCATGGGGAAAAACACTGAGAGAACGGTTTCTGAGTATGAAATCCAGAATAGCAAAAAACTTAGAATGGTGACTTATAATAACTGGCATCCCCTAGGATTGCAGCTAATAGAACCAAGTTGAACTCTTACTATTCTATTTTTTTCTGTTCTATTTTTTCTTACTTTGCTAGTTTGTAATTCAAATTTCTCACACTGTGCAAATGTTGATATTTTTAGTACTTTACTAGATGAACTGAGAGTATTATGATTTACATTTTTCACTTTGATGGCAGGGTGTAGGGAGGGGACAAATAATTGAAGTCACTGCCCTAATGCCTAAAGTGAAACTTTGGAACCTTGGGCAGTGAGATTAGAATAGGATAGCACCTTCCTTGGTGACTTAAAGGCAATATGTGAGCAGCTGGGTAAAGAATGGCTGAATTACTACAGGAAATCTTTAATTTTAGGGTGTTCTTAGAAGTTTCATCACAGACCTCTGTAAACTTTTATATATAACATTCCACTGCTGCTCAAAGATCACTGCTACTGCCATAGGACAATTGCCAACACCAAAATACCAGAAGGCTGATTTGAGAAAATTAGTTTTCTCTGACTCCTGGGTAATGAATTAGGCTCTTTTTAGAAATTACATTGGTTTCTTAAGGTAACTAGGGTGTCGTTTAGTAAGTTGGTATTTTAGTCAAACAAAATATATACCTCTTTAGTCAGTACCATGCCTGAAGAGTAATTACACAGATGCTCCATGAATGTGGTTCTGAAAGGTCATATGGCAAGTGTCAGCCTTTTTATGACAACACTGTACTCTCTTGTAAGTGCCTGAATATGGCCCTTGGGAATGCTAACTAAAACAACAAGGAAAGGTTTATGATGCTAAGTCCTCCACTACAAACATTTCATCTCTTGTTACAGCCATGCAAATTATTATAGGTCCATTGACAATGGGAAAAATTTACTGAGCTTAAAACAAATCAGACAGTATTTAACGGTATAAAAAGTTAAAATGGAAAAAATATGTCAAAAAGCTTTGGGATCACTTAAGTTACTAAGCTAACTGTCTGAAAACTGTATATAGGTCTTACGAATATATTGTATACTAGAAAATTATTGGTAAGCTCATTGAGTTTCTTGTGTAATCATGTGCAACACAGTTGGAATAAACCTACTAAAACCTTACCTATTTTTTATGTTCAGACTACATGAGAGTTTCTTCACTCTTCTTCATCTATGCAGTTAATGTGTTCCCACTATATTTTAAGGACAATGGAAAATGCTGACATATGGAGATGTGTAAGAAAATTGTTCTTAAGGAGCCTGTGAAAATGTACTCGCTCCTCATTCTTTTCTTTCTGTTTTGGCACCTCCAAAATTATTAAGTGAAAAATATTAATCTAATTAACAATTTATGCAGAAAAGAATAAGTTAAATGTTACGTTGTTCACTTTTAGAGAACTAATCTGAACCACATGCACACCCATTCCAGTATCTTTATAAAATATCTACTCTTTTCTGCTATCTCACTCCTCCATGGTCTTGCATCCCTTTCACTTTAGGGCAAGGGTTGGCAAACTTTTCTGTAAAAAGTCAGTAGATATTTTAGGCCTTGTGACTCGTACAGTGTCACAACTACCCAATTCTTCTGCTTTAGGTGAAGGCAGCTATAGATAATACACAAATGACTGACCATAGGTATATTCCAATAAAGCTTTATTTGTAGACACTGAAATTTGCATTGCATATCATTTTCATGTACTATGAATATTATTCTTTTAATTTTTCAACTATTTAAAAATGCAAAAAACATCTTTGAGAATTGTACAAAAACAGGCATTAGGCCAAATTTGTCCCATGGGCCATAGTATGACGACTCCTGGTCTAGTGGCAATGCTGCTTCTTCAAGGGCTGAGTAACCTTCTGTCAATCAGAGTCCAAACGAAAATTCTCCAAAGATCGTTCTGTTTATAAAGTTTTCCCATATGAGACATTCAAAGCTTTAGGGATCATCAATGTGCCCATAATTTTCCATTGGTTTTCCCACTTTAATAGCTGGTCCATTGAAAAATATTTTAAGATTTTACAGGGACTTATTCTACTTTTCATCATAAGTATATATAAAATAATGTATGGGGGTTAGAAAAGGAAACCAGGATAAAAGGCCTATGGGTTCTGTTCCCAGTCAGTTCTTTGACTGGATAAATAACCTGACTGCTTCACATCTCATTTTCTTTGTCTAGAAAGTCAGAATTGTCAGGTGTTGTTACTAAACAGTTATGTTAAATGTTAAAGGACATGGTAGGGAGTGGTGGGTGGGATTATGTTTGTATCTTCCAGAGTTGCCACATTTTCAGAAAAAAAGTGTATACTTTTTAGTGCCATCACATACAACTGAAAAGATGAATATTTCTGAAGAGAAATAGGGTGGGTGATTTGTTTCAAACATTTTGACGTAGAAAATCTAAACCCAAAGATGACATCAAGCAAACTATAGCACAAAATACACATATGTAAAACCTCATGGTTTTCCTATGTGCCTACGATTAACAGGAGAGGTTTGGTTTAGGGGTCTGTAAAAATGTTTTCTTTCTTTAAGCATAATGCTCAGAGCCAAGACATCATCAGCTCCAGGCTCAGTCAGTTCCAGTCGAAAGTGTGAATGTTCAGCAAAAGGATGTTTTTGAAAGGAGACTGAAAACCCACTGTGCCAGATACCTGAAACGTTGTTAGGGTATTCAGTGGAAAATTTCATTTCCACATTATAAATAACTGTAGGATATTTTAAGAGATCCAAGACTAGTAACTTCCAAGAGCTGCTTATATTAGTTCCACTGAAATGTGAAATGGAGGAAGGATACTGAGAAAGGCCATAAAGCTGAGTTACTAGATATGATTAATTAAAATAAATAATCTCACTATTGATTAAATTGCCCTTAAAATCCCCAACCACTGAGGACTGCATAGTTTGCTATCCACCAAATAAAACAAAGGACAAAACAGCGATGGAGAAAAAAGGAGGAAAAGTCCCCAAGGTAACTTCTTAAATTCAATTCTAGAATTTTTTATTTGGAAAGCCCCTCTGGTGGTCCATATTTGAAATATTAATTGTTTCTTATTGTCTTCAAAGTTCCAGGAATTCTCTGTTCTATGGACTTCCTGGGAGGAGGACAATCCCAGAGAAGGTGGCATATCACCCACCATGGTAGTTATGGAATTTTGGTGTCACTTTTACCATAGAAATAATCAATTCCCATAACTGCTTCCCCCCTTTGCAGCCCCCACAGATTTAAAAACAAAAAACGAGCCAGGGATCTCTGTTAGACAGTGGCACAACATGCCCAAAGTAAAACTAGCCCCCTAAAAAGAAAAAAAAAAGGCAGGAAAAAAAAGCCATGACTCTATGAGTGTGTATGTATTTATGTGTGTCTGCGTGTGGACTTGCAAGAGTGTGTGTCCGAGTGCACATGAGTGGACGTGTAAGGTAGGACAGCAATGGATGCAGTCTCTCTCTCTCTTTTTTGAGGCGAAAGCCTGGCTTCCCTTCCCGGATCGGCCGCCTGTGGGACTCGAGAGACCTGTGCACGCAGGGGACGCGGCGGTGCCCGGGGTTAGAGCTCTCCCCTGTGACCGAAAAGATAATTAAAAATCGCACGCGCAGGAGCCAGCTCAGCTCCTGGCTGCGCTTCCAGTTGGTCCGGTCTGGCTAAATGGGTTCTCGCACCCTGGCGGCGCCCGGGCTGGGAGGCCAGTAGGCCGGGCGCGAAGAGTAGGTTGGGGACCAGGTGTCATAGCCGGTGGCGCAGAATCGCTTCTCGGAGTCACCGAGGGTGGCAGTGGCAGGCGGCGGCTGTGGGGCGGGAGGGGCGCGGCTTGGGGCTAGTGTCTGTGGAGGGATTTGGGGAAGAGGCAGGAACGTGGAGAGAAACGTGGGAAAGGGAAAGACCGACGAGGGAGGCGTGGAGCAGTGCATGGAGGAAGGGCAGGTAAAAATAAAGCCCCAATTAGGAAGGACAGAGTAGTATCCCCTGAACTCCATCCTTACCCCTCGAGAGCGCACACCTGGCTACCCCGCACCCCCACCTCTGCTCCCGCGGTCTGGCAGACCCTCAGTCCCCCGCGCATCTCTTCAGCGGGGCGATCCCGAGTCACGCAACCACAGCCCCCCAAGCTCATCTTGTACTCGAAAGGGCTCCAGAGTCCGCGACTGGCACCAGGCCCCCATCTTCCGTGCCCCTCATGCTCTCAGAGCCCTTCCAGGCCCCTTCTAGGGCGCAGACCCGGGCGTGGGCTCAGCGAGTGGGAGCAAAGCTCTAAAACCAGACAGGGAGGGTCGTGGCAGGTCGCTACGAGGGTGAGGGAGGCGTTTGCACTGAGCAATAAAAACACCCAGTAATGGGTATGTGAATTGCTTTAAATAAGATGGGAGGGCGTGAGAGATGACCCAACCATCTTTCTTCCTTGATGCTTCGAGGGGGAGGCATTCTAATTCTTCATTTATTTTATAAAATCACTTGTTACTGTGTCAGCTACTCCACTAGGAATCTTTGAAACTTTGGCAACTGATGATTTTTTTCGCAAACACGTTTTCAAGCTTTGGAAGGCTTTAAAGAGTTTGGTAATAAGCAAGAAACGTAGTAGTACACAACGCCGAGGGTAAAACGGCCCTGTGCCCCCTTCTTGGGGTGTAATAGCCTCAAGCGGATTTCCCGGCTTCTGCGGGCGCAGCACATTGTTTTATTTGTTTTGAAGGCTCAGAGTTTGAGGCTGGTCGTAGACACCCACGTGCTCTGACTCTCATCAGCGTAATGATCGACTTAGCCAGAGTCGTGTCTATATAAACCACAAAAACCTAATCATTAGAAATCCCAGCCTCCAAAAACCACATTTTAGGTAAAAAGTGCCGCTTTTTTTCCGCGCTCCTTCATCCTCTCGACCACAACTTTTTGGGGGATCCAAAGTCGCTTTTTAAACCCACACTAGGAAATAAATACATAAATAAACAGCCACGGAAGCATTTTGAATTTTTTAGTTCGTATTTTTAATTTTTCCCCGTGAGCGCTGGGGAAGACAGACACGAAACTTAGTCTTAGATGTAGAATAGACTTAATAAAATATTTAAATTCATGGAAAACGGCTGGTGCTTTTCCCCAGCAAGGGTTTTGCAACTTATTTTAATCACAAAGCTGACAGTTTTTCAGTCCTTAAAACAAAAACAAACAAACAAACACCTCATTCTTGTTCTCTAGGAATGACAAGATTGAATATATAAGAAAAAAGAAATGTCCAGCTATGCACTTGAGTTCCTAAAAACTATTTTGACTAGATCTCCCTCCACCCCCCCTCCTCATTTTTTTTGTGTCACTTAAAACAAAAAACACCCAAACCCTGCAAAATCTTTTTCCCTTGGGAGTCGCTCAGACAGAGGTGGGGGTAGAGGTGGGAGGGTGAAGAGTGCTGAGAAGTCAGCACAGAGGCTCAAGAATTTTCTTTCCTCCTCTCCTGAAGTTACAACGAAAAATAGCGACAGTCAGATCAGCCGGGGGCTCTCTGGTGTCTCGGCTTCAATCTCTTCCTACAAAGAGGGGGTTCCTTGTCCTAGGGGTGGGGAGAGCAAGAGGACGCGACCTGGCGAGATTGCCCCTAGTCTGGGGCCGCCTCTAGGCTTCGGAAACTGCACACGGCGCGCGGGGGGCTCCTTCTCGCGGCCGGCTGGCGGCGGCAGCGGCTGCGATTCGCAGGCTCGAGATTCGTTGCCCCGAGATCCGCTGCCCACGACTTACCTCTTGGCACCTTGAAGCGCGAGAGACAGGGGAGCTTTGCAAATTGCAGGAGGGAGTGGATGCAAAGAGGTGGCTGTGAGAGGGCGAGAAGAAAAGAAGGGAAAGGAAGGAGCCTAGCCGGGGAGCCGGGCTGGCAGCCGCCGCGGGAGGAATCTGAGCGTGCAGCCCGCGCGGGGGGAGCGGCGGCCGCCGCGGAGGCGGCGGCGCGGGAGGGCGGAGGCGCGGCCGCCTGCAGCTGGGTAGCAGCGCGCGGCGCGGCGCGGCGGTGGCGGGCAGCGCGCGGCAATGCCGGCCCCGGGGCTGGACTGCTGAACCCACACCGCTTCACCACCGGACTCCAACTGGGAGGGGGCGCCAGCGCACCCAGGACGCGGTGCCCCAAGGGACCCCATTCCAAGCTGCAAACTCAAGTCCCCCGCCTCCCCAGGCCAAACACACCCCCGCGCCCGTTCGCAGCTGCCACCCCGGGTGTTCCAAAGACTCCGGCAAAGATCTGCGCCTCCCGGGTCTCCCTACCCGCCAGCCCGACTGCGCCGCATCGCCAGACTCTGTTGGCCCATCAGACTCCGCCCGGCAGTCGGCCTCATCAAACTTGATTTCTCACCTCCTCAGCCCCATCACCTCCATCCTCTTTCCCCCCGTCTCGCCTTCACCCCCCCAATTTCCTCCTTGCCCCTCATTTCCACCCTCCTCCCCCTCCCCCGGCCACTTCGCTAACTTGTGGCTGTTGTGATGCGTATTCCCGTAGATCCGAGCACCAGCCGGCGCTTCAGCCCCCCCTCCAGCAGCCTGCAGCCCGGCAAAATGAGCGACGTGAGCCCGGTGGTGGCTGCGCAACAGCAGCAGCAACAGCAGCAGCAGCAACAGCAGCAGCAGCAGCAGCAACAGCAGCAGCAGCAGCAGGAGGCGGCGGCGGCGGCTGCGGCGGCGGCGGCGGCTGCGGCGGCGGCAGCTGCAGTGCCCCGGTTGCGGCCGCCCCACGACAACCGCACCATGGTGGAGATCATCGCCGACCACCCGGCCGAACTCGTCCGCACCGACAGCCCCAACTTCCTGTGCTCGGTGCTGCCCTCGCACTGGCGCTGCAACAAGACCCTGCCCGTGGCCTTCAAGGTAAGAGGCTACACCGCCCCCCGCCCCCGGCCGGGAGCGGCGGAACCTGCCCGCCGGTGTCTTCCTGCCCACGGGGCTGGGCCCCGGACGTCCTCCAAGACCTCCTGCCTTGGCGGCTCTAACCCCAGAAACCCCCGGCCGGGCCTCCCTCCGGATGCCCTGGCGGGCTCGGGGCTCAGTCCCTCCGCGCAAATCCCTCCCTCTCCCACCTGTGCCCGCTGCCACCCCGACTTCAGCCCTAGTCCCCCTGACCCGTTCAGCACTCCTCATGCCTCCTGCCTGGCCTTGATTCTCACTCACTCCTTCGCGCCGTCTCCCTTTCCCCCAGGATCCCCAAAGTACCCACTCTTGCACTGCGAGCGGACTTGCTCCACCCCGCCCCTTTCCCGGGGGCGAGGATCCCCGGCATTGTCCCCTGGGGCTCCCGCGTCCTTCCGGGACATCCCGGCCTGGCCGCATTGCGGGCTGCCCGCGCAGCCTCTCTTTGGGGCTCCGCGCGCTCTCACCCGCTTCCCTCACAGCCAAACGCCTCTCCTCAGGTCTCGGCGTCCCCTTCCCCGACCCGCAGAGTTCAGCGGTCCTGGTCCCTCCCGGGCTCCCGTGCCGGGATTCGTGGGGTGCCGGTGCCGGGCATTAGTGCCCGGGGCTGGGCGTGGGGTGCTGACTGAGGCGCGCGGGCTGCGCTACCAGTGCCCGGGAGGGTCCTGGACAAACCTAGGGTCTCCAGAGGAGGGGGTGTCAGGGCGGGGGCGTTTGCTCTGTTCGCTGACCCGCGCCAGATCCCGTTACCGGGAGGAAGGCGGGGCCGCTGGGGCGTCCGCAAGCCCCGAAGCGGGGGCGTTCAGGGGGCCTGGGCGCTGAACCCTCGAGTGCTGGGAGGCGCGGGCCAGGGGACGGGGCGGGAGCTCGGGCCGCTTCTTCCAGCCGGGACCGAGCTCTGCGCCTCGCCCCGCCAGGGAGGGATGAGGGAAACCTGTGGAACAACTTTAGTTCGCCCAACTTGAAAACGGAGGTGAAATTTTGTATTTTTGCTTTATTATTATTTTTAAAGGACTTAAATCTAAAAAAGATCCCTCCTGCTTCTGAAAGGTGGTGAGAGGCTCCTGCTGGTGGCCTGAGCACGGAGTGAGCTCGAAGGCTTGAGAGCGGCCTCTGCGCGCCCCGCAGACTCTTGTGCCTGCCCGGCCCGTTAGTTTGAGGGCGGGTGGCAGCCGCGGGAGTCGCAGGCAGGTGCTCCGCAGGTTGAGGTTTTAGGATCTGGAGCCTCTCACAGTAGCCCGATGGCTCTCCATAACCCGATCCAGATTTCCCGGGGTAGCCCTCTACAGGGGGGAGACGCGGAGCCCCCAGGGCCCAGCGCACACTGGGTTGATGGGGAAACGGGTTCCCAGGCTGTCCACACTCGCAGGACTGTCCACACTCGCAAGACGCCAGGGATGCAGGGGTGGTAAGCCAGACGTGGAGATGAGACTCTCAGAAAGGTGCTTTGGGCCCTTGCTAACCTCTGAACTTGAGTAGGTGGGCCTGGGTCCCCTGGGTTCTGAGGTCTGTGGAGAGCAGGGCAAGCAAGGCCTTGGGGGAGGTTAAAAAAAAAAGTTGGGGGAGGAATCATGCCAGTTTCTCCGCTGGGGACCCTGGGGCCAAACTCCCACGGGCCACTGACAGTTCCCAGTTGTTGATCACCCCCACCCCACGCACCAATTCAGATTCCGTGTGTGGGTGGGATGGAAAGAAAGAGGAGTCCAGGTCAATTAGACCTGGTTATCTCGCTAGGACTTATATCAGAACAGAAATCAGAATGAATTGTTATGGAAAGGGGATGTTGCATTCTGGGGCAAGTTTCATTTTGCAGTTGGCTCAAGAAATTTTTTTTTTTAACCGTCACATTTCTCCTTTTATAAACCACCCATTTTGTAGGTTAATGTTTGCTTCCTTGAAATAGGAAAAGCTCAGAATACATGTGAATTGTATAAATTTAAATTTCCATACAATATATATCTTTTACAATGTCCATCGTCCAAGGGCCCAGAATTTTTAAATTAGTCTTATATGAGAATGGAAATTTGTTTCCACCAACGCCCTCCAATCCCCCAAACCAAAAGCCCCCAAAAACCCCAAACCTGGATGAAAACAGCAAAAAATACAAATAAGTAGATACCTTGTCTGCACAATGCCACAAATCAGAATATGTGAAAATATAAGAACAGATGCTTACATTTTTAAAGTGTTCCATATACCATTCTGCTAAACATATTTAAGGTCTATCTTGAACTGTTCTCTTGCATTTATGCGGCTGAATTGATTTGAACATGAGCATTTTGGATGGAAAGGTTGTTTTTTGCACTTTAGCTTGAGCTAGTCTCAGATATTTTGGCTGTCATCTAAGATTTTTCACTACCACCCTTTAAAAATTATTTTGAAAATAAATTTTGCTCTTTGTTATTAATCAACTTGTTAATCACACAGAGTACATTTTTGTATCTTAAGCAGTAAACAGACCGTAGGTAACAAGACCATATTAAATTGACTATTTTAATTCATATCAATTGAATAATGAATTGAGTTAACCTACAACCTGACTGTCAATGTCTTTCTATCAACATACCTGTGTTAAACAATTCAAAAAGTGGGTGATAGCTAAGATCTACTCAGTATAGAAAATACTCTGTTGAGAAAAAATGTATGGATGTTTGGAACATCCAGATTGTGACAACCTCTCTTTACCCTACTTTTGGAATAAAAGCCTGAGAGCACTAGACTTTCTATACTCTTACAATATAATCAAATACATCTGCAATGAAGAAATAATATGAAGAAGTCTCCCTTTTAAAAGTGGTGACAGCAATTTGGCCATGATATTTAGAGCTATGTAAAAAATAGATTATAGTGGTTGTCAGGTCAATAGCAGATAGGTAAATGGATTTAAACACACACATACACACACACACACACAACTTATTTGTTGTGAAGTCTGATATTCAAATCAATACAATATTTATTGAGCCCGTATTTTGTATCTGTCACACTGAGCTTGACACCGCAGAGAATCAGAAATGAATTCAATAGACTGTTTTGAAATGTCAGTTTAAACTCGTGTTTAAACACGATATTGTCAATCTATTTCATTAAGAATGTATTAGCGTTGTTCATCTACTCTTGTTTCGAGATGATATAAAATTTATTTATTTTTACATGTAAAAATGCAAAAACAACTGGTATACTTTATATAAAGTTGTTTATTAACATTGTATTTTTAACAAAGTTCTGCAGTTTTGAAATGTTCGGTCCCCCCAGGTGTCAAGGAAACGGAAATAAATATTTTTAACATTTTCAGGTGTATCTCACTGAAACCTTAAAATAGTTAGGGCATACTATTAGAGGATCCCAGACCCTTTCTATCCTAGATAATTCTAGTGACAAAGAAGTAATTTGCAAATTCAGCTCATTAGCTGATGGTCAGGTAACGGTGGAGAGAGCGTGTCAACCATGCATCCAGTAGCACCCTTTTAGTTAGGGGTCTGTCAGCATTTCCACTGTGAAGCCTGGTGTTCAGGGTTCGTAACTTAGTTGCCTTAAATAGCTTCAAGCTGAAACACTATGCAGAAATTTTAAGTCCAGATGTATATTTTAAAACTAAAAGTAGTTCAAGTCTATTCTGCTGTTTTAAGTTAGAGAACACTGGACTACATATATTTATCAGTATCATATGTTTTTCTGGCAGTGTTAAAGAAAGAAAACACATTTTTAGATATATAAGCTAGCACTCATAGTTAATTCTGTATATTTAATAATACCTTTCAGTGCTTGTCAAAAGGAGGGGTTTCAAAATGACAGAGCAATTTCTGTTTGAAAATAAATTTTTGGCATCACTAGCCATTTTTCTCTCTTCGAAAACAAATATACAACTGGTAAATACTTGATACCAGTGAGTAGTATTTTTCTTACATAGTTAATGATCAGATTTTATGTTTATATTTTTTGAATCTCATTGTATCTAAACTAGGGAAAATAGGTTGTTAAGCCTGTTAAATCCTTATTAACCGTAATATAAATTATTATGCAAAATTATGTAAATCAATAGATTTCAAGTTGTGTGAAGACAGACACATTTTTGTGTTATGCCTTTGAATTCAAGAAAACTTATTTAAAGTTAAATATTTTGGGACTGAATATATAAAACTTCTAAGTAAGGAAGTTGGAACAAAGAATTTCAGGTGGAAAATAAATACTTATAAAATTTTTTAGAAAACTTCTATTAAATATTTGAAAATAGGTATGGTAGATATCTTTCATTATTTTTTCCTCTTTGGCATTATTGTTTGTATCCTTTCAAAATTCCAGAATATCTATTGTTAGATGATCTAAACCACCATGATACATGGCCCACAAATTGCTGCTTTACATTGAAATAATTTTTATCAAAATTTATCTTTGACATATATATTTTTAAAATTATGAAATGACATATTGTGTTTTTTCTCTAAAATTCAATGGGCTTTTCCTAAGTTCTAGGATAAATTCAAAATATTAACTGTAGTATTTGTTGAAATGTTTTGATACTGTATTTGAAGTTATCTTTAAGTAATTGTGATAGGAATAACATTTTTGCTTTTTGCAATTAGTCTCACTTCTCTTTTTATTGCAAAGAAAGATTTGATCAGATTTTATCTTGAAAAATAATTATATTTCAATTATACCGCAAGTACAATATCCTGAATTATTTTGGCCTATAAGAGTAATTGATTAGTTAAGACTAGACTTCTGTCCATGGAAATGTCATAGGCAATTTTAATTTCCATATAAAAAGATGAGAAACTGTTTTAAGGGTTTGAGTTAATTCTCCATTCCTCTTCTTTTAGTGATTCACAGATTTAGTCATAAGGAGTCTCATACAAAATTTCAATAGCATTACTACAGTTAAATATCCTTCTACTTTATTTTGTGCAAGCCACATATCATGTGATTTAAATGCTAGTTATGGTGAGGTGCGCTAAATAAAGGAACGTCTTTCTCTATTCTGAAATGTCAGGACAGAAAATTACTTCTCCTTTTCTCATGGAGTTTCTTGAATTTGTAGATTTTATATTTTAAAAAAACATAGAAATGTAATTGTTAAGATCATCACAAATTATTCTTTGCAGAGCAGTACTTTTGTATTGGGTAGGATGGAAGCAAATTCTAATTTGTGCTTATTCCTAACTAGTTAAAGAGCGAGTTTTGACTGCACTTTACCCCTTCAAATGTTTTTCCATTGCTTGGTTTTGGTACAGATGAAATGTGTAAAAATTTCTTGATTCTTTTGGTTTTCTTTTAGATAAACACAGTTGAGAATCTCCAAGGGAAACTTTTTAGCTTCAGAGATCTACTTAAAGAAAAAACCTCTCAAACATATAATTATACTTCTGATTGATATAAAGTCAAATACAGTACTTCCCCCAACTCCCAACCTTTTCTCCCCCTCAGAAAAACATCGGGCAATCTGATTTGGTAGAGTGAATAGCAGAAAAAAAACCAATATATTTAGCCATTAAACTAGAGTTCAGCTTTAACAGGAAAGATTGTCACTACCTTGCATTAGCATTTTTTTTCAGGTCTTGCTCTCAGCCTCATAGAAGGCTCACACAACTTGTGATTATTTATTTGTTTTGTAAAATGTGATACGTAAAACACACTAATATTGAATATGGTCATTATTATACTGCTTAAGCACAGTAAAATGGATGTATGTATTTCACTCTTAGGGATCTTTTCTTTCATATTTTCCCATATTGAATCAATTTTCCATTTCTTCTAACTAAAAAAAAATTCATTATGTTAAAAATATGCAGTAAAATAATAATGTCCCAGAGTTCTTGAAAACCTTTATATTGGGGCAGATTGCTTTTTTTTTTTTTTTTTCGGAAATGTAGCCAGACTTGAGTGAAATCCACCAGCAGTCATCCTGTATCTCTCAACAACATCAAAGAACATCTCAGAACATGAAGTGAGGAAGTACGTACTCAGTTGAACCCTTTAAGAATGCTTATAAGTAAAAGCCTATGTTTAACAGACAGCAGATTTGGAACAGAACACTGTGTTACCCTCCTCATCTTACAAAAAGCACATCATTATAATTACACTCTATACTTATATAGTATCTTCTACATTTTGCAGACTTTCCAATTCATATTGGAAAACTGTGGTTCCTGGAGATGAAGTTATTTTGTGTGAGGTCATAGCAGATATGTAGCAGAAGTGGGGAAAAAGTGGAGCCTCTTGATTTTGGTATATTCATTCTCTTCTAAACAGTACAACTTTTCTCCTGCCTTTATTAATATGCTTACTGGGTCCATATTTACTTTGACATAGAAAGCCACGCAGCAGGTGTTAAAATACAATATGCTGAGTGTACAAAATGTCAAACATTCAGATGAATCCTGGCGAATGTAGTCAATTATTGCAGTATTTTCAAATGTTCACATTTTTGGCATGGTGAATTTGAAAAATTGAAAAGCACATTGCCTCCATCAGGAGTACAGCATTACCTGTATTCAGTAGCCGCTTGAGATATGAGATGACGTGTACAGAGAGGAAGTCTTATTTTCAAGGGATTTTACTTTTGATCCAGGAGACTTCTCATATTGAGAATAACTATATTCTCCAGGGAAAGGGAGGCAGCATGGTTCCGTCTCCTCTGAGATGAAAACAATGTCAGAAAACAAGCTGGGGGCAAGGGCACATTGCTGTTAGCAAGGGGTGCTGACTCAACATTAACTGGCCCTCTCAGAGTTTTAGTGGGTAGCCCCACAGACTTCTGTCTCTGCGAAGTGGGGCTCTTTATGGAGCTCTTTCATTTATTTCAAAAATGTTTACCTGGCTGGGCTCGGTGGCTCACGCCTGTAATCCCAGCACTTTGGGAGGCTGAGGCGGGCGGATCACCTGAGGTCAGGGGTTCAAGACCAGCCTGGCCAACATGGTGAAACCCCTTCTCTACTAAAAATACAAAAATTAGCCAGGTGTGGTGGTGCACACCTGTAATCCCAGCTACTCGGGAGGCTGAGGCAGGAGAGTCACTTGAACCTGGGAGGTGGAGGTTGCAGTGAGCCGAGATCGTGCCACTGCACTCTAGCCTGGGTGATAGACTAAGACTCCATCTCAAAAAAAAAAAAAAATTAATAAAACACTTACCATGTGCTGGACACTTTTGGGAGCAGGGTTGATAAGTGGTGAACAAGACAGATGAGATGAAGGCCCTTCTCTCGTGTAGTTTCCTAACTCATATAATCTGGACTCCTAGGAGTGAGTCCCTCAGCTTTGGCCTGGTATATTTAAAGTAGTCATAGACCATTAATATTAACATATGTACGTTGAAATGAGGATCACTTGAGTACATTGGGAGGCTGGGGAAAGTGGGGCCTGTAATTTAAGGAAGGCTTTATTGATTTTGAACTGAATAACACAGTACTAAATGGAAGGAATGGAACTGAGAAACAGCCTAAGAGAAAAGTAAGGGTGACAAAAATATTGACAAGTTTTTTGTTTGATTGTTTTCCTGGCTGGAGGAGAGGACATAGTGAAGGCGTGTTGCAGTAGGGTTCATGGATGGGGGAAATTCAGCCCTAAAATATAGGTATAGTGTGTATTATCACACTGTTAAGAAATCTACTGTAATATGCCAATTGTATTGGGAACATGGAATTAAATGCTTAGGTTTGTCTTATGGAAATCTTGACAAAGGAGGGAGTAGCACTAGAAGGAGAAAAAGATAAGTGGGAGGTTCACCAGACAGGCAAGCACACAGGGGTATTATTGTCAGACAGCTGTGGGCTACTTGAGCTGCGGTCATTGCTGAGTTACCATGAGGGCATCTGGAAGCTGAATGAGGAAGACATGGAAATAATCTGAATATAGAGTCCTGGAAGTTCGTTGAGAGAAGGGATTGTTACCAAGGGGCAGGATCTTGGCAATGGATTAGGAGGAGTGTTTCATATATGACAGTGAAGGATCTGCACCAGCATCTCCTTACTGGGCTCTGTGTTAATCAAAGGCACACATTTGCATGTTAGCTGACTCAGGTTAAAGTGTTATCTCTAGTCTTAGAGCAGAGAAAATGTTTGTTTGTTCCAAAGATGGATTAATCTAGATCTTTTCTTGATTGAGTTAATTTGCTTCAGATTAACTGTTGAAGATTAAGCAGTCAAGTATGTCATTCCAGGATGGCAGATGGGACACAAGACATAATAGAACTGAGGCTAAGGGTATATATTGTTTTTTTCTTATTTATCATCAATTATTTTCACCTTCAGTTTCTTGATGACTTTGGATATCACACTGGGTCCCACCGCAGTGTGGTTTTCAGTAAATATACTTTATTAAAAGCTGAAGTGCTAGCCCAAAGTAAGGAGATAAAACAGACTACACGATATCTAGGCTCTATGTAGTGAGGAGCCCCAGGGTTTCACTTAAAAATCTTCTCCCATAAAGTTGACCAGACTTGATATTTTTTAGCCTGTGATGGGATAAGACCACACCTCAGGGCTCTCCCTGAGAGAAAGCCTGCAGACAGGTGGTGCCTTGATCTGTATGATGCAATCTGCAGATGGGGCATCCCTCTTCCTTCTGTGGCATAATTCCTACGGACAGCTTAACATGGGGATTTAATAAAAATGTACATATTTTCTGTGAAGAATCCAACAACAAATGAAAGAAGTTTTTGCCTGCCTTTGAAATGGGTGGACCCTGAAACATTGGTCTGTTTGAAGTGGCATCACAACCCATACACAGATGCTTCATTCCTGTCGGCCATTACTGGACTGGACTAGAACACTAAGTCCTGATAAGACACATCATTTGCAATGAGAATATATTCTGTTTGTAAGCCTTTCTGATGTGCCATTATTGCTGCTGTGTTTCCTGTTTTATGTAGGTGGTAGCCCTCGGAGAGGTACCAGATGGGACTGTGGTTACTGTCATGGCGGGTAACGATGAAAATTATTCTGCTGAGCTCCGGAATGCCTCTGCTGTTATGAAAAACCAAGTAGCAAGGTTCAACGATCTGAGATTTGTGGGCCGGAGTGGACGAGGTAGGTCTCTGACTTTTGATACTGATAATAGAATAAGCACATTAGGCTCCTTTGATGAAATGTAGACTAGTCTGTATACAAATCAGCACCTTCTTTTTCTGAATAGAATTACTGAAGATTTGATTTAAATACATCCAGATGAAGTTGAGTGTTTTTCTGAGTACTCAGGCCTTTTTCATTTATTTTATGATATTGAAAATTCAAACAATGTTTTCAGAAAAACTAGCTCCTAATTTCACTGGGTGTGAGCATATAAGGTAGAGAAAAGAACAGTTGGAGGATCAACTTCTGAATTATGAGGAGTCAAATAACTGAGTAAATTGAGTGGTAAAGGGGAAAGAAAAATGGATATGTTGGATCAATTTCCTGGTAATATCAATTTTGGTCTAAGTTGTAGCAAGGACAGCTGGCATAATGCTCTTCACTTATCACAGGTTACCTCTATATGATTTAATTTACTCTCATAGTAAGAATTTATTAAAAACCATGGTTTTTTTTTAACATAAGGCTTTTCATTTGAATAAGTGAATAATGTATTACTTATGTTAGAGTGACTATGTAAGGTTGCCTAGACAGATGAATGATTAGTACTCTAATATTAATAGTTCCATACTATGTAAGGATTCCCATCATCTGAATCCATATTCAAAAATTAGAGATCCTTAAATAGAAAATTATCCCTTTTAGGGTTTTTGTAACTGTTTGATAAATGAGGTTAATGTTTTTTAAAAAAGTCTTTAAGGAGGCCAATATTTTGGCTTTTATTTACTTATTCTACAGAAAGACTTTTACTAGTTACTCACTATTAGAAGCATTATGCTTATTTATTTACTTAACTGAATCTAATATTTCCATTTTAAGTATTTTGATAAGAAGAAAGAAAATAGACCACTTTAGAACTGAGGTGAAATAAAGCCTTATGGAATCATTGCAACCCAGGTTTGAATAGGAAATGAGGAGCACCACTTTTTAAACCATGTCTAATAATTGCTCTTTAGTTTGGATCAGATGTCAAATTATTACCATTGTAAAAACTTGATAAGGGAAATTCAAGCAAGGCTGTTTCCGATGAGTAGTGTTAGTTTACTTTCTAGGAACAGGGCCAAGAAGTTGTACTTTTTAACTTAAAAAAAATGATTCATGCTAATGAGATACTGTCACTGACATGTTGTTTGAAATAAAATGAGGCTCACAGCCTCCGGTAGAATCAAAACTAAGGGAGTTATCTCTGCATCAGGTTTAGTTAACTTTCATAAAAAGAAGAAAAAAAGACACATCCTATATCACTATTGACTGATTAGGTTTGGAGTATGTGTGTGTGTGTATTCATTCTTCCTTTTTCTCATTTACTTATGCAGGTCCACTATGCAATTAAAGTTTTCCTTTTTTTCTAGTTAGAATCAAGAAAAATGTGAACATGATGATTTACCTGTATGCTCTGAATTGCATCTTTCTTCTTATGTAATAATACTTTTTTTTTTTAACTAGAGTAATGAATTTTAGTTTTTAAAGGATTGGGTGCCATGCTTAATTTTACATTACAGATTCAAACTAGTGTTTTCATTTATCTTACTTTTGTATTATATAGATGCTGCATAACTTTTTTCTGATCAATTTAAGTAGAAAGTATGGCAAAGTGATAGTGTACTTTGTAAACCCTCAACATATTTATTTAAGAAACTTCAAAGAGAAACAAAGGGTGTGCACTGTTTTACTATATTGGCTTTCTGAGTTTTGGCTGGTTTCCCAAATAGCAATTTTTATATTTAAAAAAAAAGACAGACTTAACTGCTTGCAGACTTTTCACGCATGGAAGATGAAGAAAGCTTCTTTTGATGAAGTGTAATTATGTCCAAACAGAGCTGACCCCCTCCCCCTATATTTCTTATGATCTTAACTGAAGAAAGTAGGATTTTTCCTTTGAAGCAGCCGGGACTTGGTGGAGGATCTGAAATGCTACAGTCTGCTGCCAGAGGCAGGATGGAGAAATTGGTCCAGACTTGTCTTCAAGACTTAGATGGGGGGTAGGGGGAGTGGGTGGAGAGAGAAAGAAAAATTGATTTATCACTAATAATATATTTTTATATCACTGCATTAACATTGTATGAAAGGAAACAGTAATATCAAGCTGAGATGAAGAGGAAAAAAGGACAGAGAACACTGATAACAGATCACACTCTGAAAAAAAAATGGGTCAGTTTTTCAGTGGCAGGAAACCCTTTAACCTGCCTTTGTACCCTTTGTACCTGACCTGCTTTATAACAGACTCTTCCAGCTTCCTCTTTGATTTTCACACTTCTACATTTCTCTTAAGCTATTAAGTCTGGATCAACATGCTGCTACCATTGTATTTTCTTTCCCGGCTTTAAATATTTCTATTTTCAGTAGTGTTATAAAAAAACACCAAGTTCCTCAAATATTGCACTTTTTTTTTTCTTTCCACTGGTAGAAACATAAACTCTCAGAAACTGAAAAACAATCTTAGATTATAAAGGAGTCATGTCACTACTGACTTTGACTTTATGGGTCATCTTATGACCACAACTTTTGAAAGTGCTAGAATAAAAGTAGAGCATCAGTGGAACTTGCATTAAGTTAGGAGAGGCTTAAGGTTTTTCATGGTTTTTCCTTTTTTTTATCCTTAATCTTTTAAAGAGAAGTGTTTAAAATGATTTTGGTCCTTAAATTTTTTTTTGGTATGCTTTCTTTTTCCTGATGAAGCCATGGATGACACAATTAGTTATCTACTGACTGCTAGCTCCCTATTTGAGAGCCTACATTTTAAAATAACAGGCTGTATTTTATCACTTATGGAAAGTGATAAAAAGGGGATTTTTGAGAAAAAATTAATTTAAGGAAATCATGAATGCCCACATAAACATTTGACTTAAGAGGTGCATTATTATTATAGGATGAAGAACCAATTACTAAATTGGTTGGTAATTTCTGAAAATTTCTTCAACATTGCATACATATTTCTTCTGAAGGGGCAATAAGAAGCAGAAGGAGCCTCATTCACTTTTGCTGTAGTTGTTAATTACATCTTGATCCTTAGGGTCTGATTTTGGCAGATCATAGTTATACTTAACTACTTGTTTCCTCCCCCAAACCCATCTCTTTTTAAAAGCAGTTTTTTATAGAGAACTCATTCTACTCTGAAAATTTAAATGCTTTATACTTGAAGGGTGAATTTTATTTTTGGCTTTTGTTCCTACATGAGGCGTCACCCTGAATTTAGGGGAAGCATAGATGACTTTTAATATCCTAAGTAAGTTGTAAAGGTCTCAAGTAGAACTGTTACCAAAACTGGTTTAAATAAATTTATGGACAATCTATTTTATCTTTTTTTCTTTTTTGAGATGGAGTCTCACTCTGCCACCCAGGCTGGAGTGCGGTGGCACCATCTCGGCTCACTATAACCTCCGCCTCCTGAGTTCAAGTGATTCTTGTGCCTCAGCCTCTTGAGTAGCTGGGATTACAGGCGTGCGTCACCACGCCCAGCTAATTTTTATATTTTTAGTAGAGACAGGGTTTCACCAGGTTGGCCAGGCTAGTCTTGAACTCCTGACCTCAGGCGATCTGCCCTCCTCCACCTCCCAAAGTGTTGGGATTACAGGCGTGAGCCACCGCGCCCAGCCGACAATCTTTCTACCAGGTTATTTAGAGACATTAAGGATAACTGAGATCTGTATATATCCTTGATTTATTAAGATGAGTGCCATAGATGAAAACTGACTCTGAAACACAGCCATGGGAGCCACTGTTAGAAAGGCAATCCTGGGCCCATAGACCACTAATCTGACCCCAAAATGGCACTTTAAAATGTTTTAGTGTAAATTAACTTTCAATCTAGAGATTCAGCTCTTTTACTTTTTGCGATCTTTCCATTGTTTTGAGGTTCTAACTTGGACCCAGTGGCTTCCTATTCAAGTTTCTGGTTTCTAATTCTGTAGGCTTTTAGTTTTCTGTAACTAGTTTAGACTCCTGGCTGGTTTATTCTTCTGGTTAGTCTTAACGCTTATAATAAAGCCTCTCTTTGCTAACCAATTATAAATTATTTAAATCCGTGTAATAGCCAATATAGTGGATAAAATATATCAATGACACTTTAAAAATAGATGCTTTCATCATCCTGAGATATTGCATTAGTCCATTTATGTTTACTGTTTCTTGGGCACATAGAGCTGATTGGGACGCATCTAGAAATAAATTACTTATTAATTTTTTTAAATGGCAAGTGATCAAGCCACTTAAGGAAGTGGCCAAGTGACAGAATATTTAAAAAAAAAAGAGCATTAATTTTAGGGTCTGAAAAATGAGGTTCAGATCTTCATTTTTTCATTTATTAGTTGTATGAACTTGGGTAAATTACTAAGTCTCTTGAGGCTTCAGCCTCCTTATTTGTGCAATGGGGGTGAGAGATCTAAGCGGGGAGGATTAATTGAGATAATGTGTATGAAGTGGCACTTAATACGTTTCTAATTGTTATTCACCTTTCCCTATTCAAACTGCACCCACCCCATTCCTGTCTTTTCTTTCCTGTTTTTTTCCCCTTGGCTATAGAAAAGTATAGCCAAGGAGACTTAAAACTATTTATACTCAGTAACAAATGATGTGCGTCTTAAACAGATTTTAGGAACTTACATGGTCTAGGTTGAAAAGAAAACCCATTCACTAGACTTGACAGCCAAAGACCTGTTCTCCATTAAGCCTTGTATATAACCTGTTCCATATTAAGCTTTGAAAAGACTGCATTAAACTTTGCATTGGTACATATTGTCAAAGATTTGTGTTTTGGTTTAATACTCTCAGTTTTCAGTAAGGGAAAAAGAATCTCTGACCAAAAAACAAAGCAAAACAAAATGAGCTTTTTAAAGGTCTGTTACAGGAGCAGACTGAATGAGTACTCTGGCCTGAGATTGCTGAATGTTTTATTGAGTCACTGTTTCACGCCCACCTCTTCCTGTCTTGTAACAGTTTGCAGTTTTGACTATCTGACATGATTAACCGTTGCAAATCTAACTGATTACAACTGTTAGTAAGTCTGTGCAACAGAGAATGGTATCTTCTTCTGGAGAAAACAGACATCCAAATATGCTACCAAACTTTTCCCTGTCTCTTTTCCCCTTCTTATTCGTCGCTTTTAGCTCATTAATTTGAAGCATCAGATGTAATATTTCAATGAAGCACACCTTCTGCTAAAAGCAAAATTTGAGTTTATACTGAGAGATGTCATGTTCATTTAGCAAAAAGTAAGTCGCTGTCAGGGGGTTATTTCAAGATTTAACAGCAAGGATGTATGTTAGGGGAGGGGTGGACAGGGAGGAGAAAAACTTTGTTCCAGTAATGATGAAATCATCATACCACAGGCACATTACGGCCAGGACAGGAGACACTGGCTCCTGTTAAAATGATTCCCATAAGAACTTTCCTCTTTTATCTTCTTATTGTAGTGCAGCTAAGCAAATGAAATGCTAAAGCTATGTGAAGTAAATAACATAATCAACAATGATTTACTATTGTTCTCTCGTGAGGTCATGACCCAACCCTAAATAAAGACTTCTAAAATTGTCTGTGCTTGGATGTGTTCCTGATGTTGGAGAAAACTGAAAGAAAAAGAACCTTCCTCAAGTGGACCAGGGTTTTGTTTTCATTACAACTGTTGCTACTGAGGAGCTTTTTTGGAATTGGAGTCTTCCTGTGTAGCACTACAATGAGGACGATGATCTTGACTCTAAGCAAATTTGGAAATGTCCTAAAGTGGTCATCGGAGGGTTTCCAATTTAGAAGAAGGAGTCCTGCCTCTTGTCTTTGTTTCATTGCCTCCTTAGAGATGCTTAAATGCAATTTGGAAATCTATGCTGCTGTGTAATCATCAACACTGTTTTTTAATATTCACTGTATATTTTCCCCTTTTATATCTGCAGGCAAGAGTTTCACCTTGACCATAACCGTCTTCACAAATCCTCCCCAAGTAGCTACCTATCACAGAGCAATTAAAGTTACAGTAGATGGACCTCGGGAACCCAGAAGTAAGTACTCCCCTTTTTATTGAAGAAAGTAATAGAGTTTCCAGAGACCCTATGAGGAATTTATTCCAAATGAGTTAGTGTCACTTTCATGTCCATAGTGTCTTTGTGGACTTTGCTATCTGCATATATTTTTTTTAGTGAGGGAGAGTTAGTCAAACTTCAGAGTTAGTAGAAAATAAAACTACGGTTTTAACCTTTGCCACACAATCACTAAGGCCTCCGTAGCTTTGGGAAATGAGTGAATAATTATTCAGTCACTGTTAACTATTTGCTAAGAAATTTTGCTCATGTACTGAACATAATGGGGCAGAATAGACCCATGAGAGCTGAGGAAGAAAAGAGCAAACTTAAAAATCTTGAGCTTAGTCAAAAAGCACTGGCATGTGTTTCCCATGGCCTAAGAATGTGTTTTAGCTTTTTAACTCGCCCACTCAATTCCCTTTATGAAGAGCACACTGCTTAATTACAAAGAATTTATTTGCAAATGATAACTTGCTTGATTGTTACAACACTGTTGTTTGGTCATGCTCTAGTAATTGTTATAGGTAGTTTTCTTTTAACAGATAGAGTCAAACCACGTTTAAATCCATCTTGGTTTATTTGTCTGTCTGGACATCCAGAAGGTTTCACCGGCAATCAGTTTCAGGTAGCGCACATAATCTACTTGGGCCAATATGTATGTTCCTTCTAAATCTAAAATGACCGAGGTTTGCTTCCCCCACCCCCACCAAAAAACTGCTTTGAACAAACTCAGCATAGCGGTATTTGAATATATTTAGAGATTAAAGATTATTTGATATATAAACCATTAACAATTGTGTGCCAATGGAAACATCATATAGAACTCTGCCTTTGCTGAGTGAATACATTGGAATCCTAACCACTGCATTTAGGGAGGTCAGTTTGGTTTGTGGTGGAGGCATAGCTGGCAGAAGTACTTGTTCTATAACAATCAACCTGCATAGACCATGAGAGTGGCATATCTTTTCTTCCCCTAAAATGAGAGAAAAGGTCTCATAAAGTTTTGCCTCTACCCAAGCAGCATACCTTCCTAGCAGTGGGAGCATATGGTGGGTCCCGTCCCTTTTGCTGCTGTCTCTTTTCACAAAGGCTGACTGCTTGCCTGAACTAGGGAGGTTTCCTGCCTCAAAAGCAAGTCTTTGAGGTTTTTGTTTTCTTCTCCTTTCATGTGTGTGGCATTCTTCCAGGTTCATAATGTTGAGTCAGTGCTGGCCCTGTCTGTTCAGTTTGGGAATGTCCTGTTAGGTGATTGCTGTACACATGTGTGTAAGCACCAAGTCTCTAGTCCTAAGGGCTAGTGGTTATGGAGTGCAGGTGAATAGAACAGAGCTTTGCCTGGTTTGGGGCTTTGCCTGCCTTTTCTGGATAGCCATAAGTTGGGGATGATGCCTTATGATGGAAGATGTCTTCTAACTTTTGGTCAGACTAGCCCCGGAATTCCTGAAAAGGCAGGACGTCCATTTTAGTAATGCACATAGCAGGATAGTTGGTTTTTAAAATGTAGCACCGCTAATACTTATCTCTTAAAGATATTTCCTGCTGATCTCAGCTGCTTTTCTCAGTTCTTGGAAAAACCATTTGCGTGTGTTTGTGTGCGTGTGTGTGTGTGTGTATGTGTGTGTGTATGTTTGTGTGTGTATATGTGTACATACACACAAGAGTTGATGCTCAAAAGTTGATGGCTGGGAGAGGAAAGAGGGAAGGATAGGTGCTCCCTGTTCTGAACGATATGACAATAAGTGAGAAGGCAGGGTAGCTTTGGAAAAGTCACTTCTGTTTCAAGTGTGCATAGCAGTACCTTATTTCAGAGAGGTTTTTGTCCAAATTAGTCAATAGACTAATTTATAAAGGCAGAGAATTGCCTTGTAAAGGCAGAGAAGTGCTCTGAAAGCAGTGAGAGTTAGGAGTAGAGGGGCCAGGTGGTATACGTGGGACCTGAGTTCAAGCTTTGTGTGGTGCCCAGGGTGGGCGGTGGAAGCAGATACAGATCTGCAAGTGGTAGGCCACCTGCCCTAGATAAGCCTGAGTAACATTTCTTATTAACTGAAAATATCGGTGAAAATGCGGGGTCATTTTCCTGACATCATAGGGTGACTTGACGAAGTCAGTGTCTGGAGAGAAGCATGGGTCTGCTTTGAGCGACAGCTGAATCCTATAACCTGGATTCTGTGCTGGATTATTTTTTTCCTCCCTGTTCTTGGCCATCCTGGGCATTGAATATTTGTAGCATAGCCCTCTTCTCAATATGGTTCTTTAATTTTGACACTCCCAGGTGTGGGAAATGCACAATATTTCCAATTTTCTTAAACAGTGAGTATAATAGGAGTTTGATTAGTTGGTGCATATAATGTTAAATGGGAGATCCTCTAGAACACAGACTGGCACACGTTTTCTACGGAGTGCCAGATAGCAAATCCTTTAGACTCTGTGGGCCGTATGGTGGTCTCTGTCACAACCACTCAACTCTGCCATTGTAGCTCAAAAGCAGCATAAGCAAATACATACATTCATGGTCATGGCTATACAGGTTGAGTATCCCTTATCCAAAATGCTTGGGACCAGAAGTGTTTCGGATTTCAATTTTTTTTTTTAATTTTTGGAATATTTGCGTATATAATGAGATACCTTGGTGATGAGACCCAAATCTAAACATGAAATTCATGTATGTTTCATATACACCTTATGCACACAGTTTGAAGATAATTTTATACAATATGTAAATAATTTCGTGGAAGAAACAAAGTTTGTGTTATGTACTTATGTGTGGAATTTTCTACTTGTGGCATCATATTGGTGCTCAAAACTTTCAGATTTTGGAGCATTTCGGATTTTCAGATTAAGGATACTCGATCTGTATTCCACTAAAATTTTACTTATAAAAATAATTGGTGGGCCAAGTTGTAGTTTGTCAACCCTTGCTTATTCAAAGTGGCTTATTTTATTGATCCTTAACAGAGAAGGGCTTTAGTAAAAGGCTTTCCTGGGGCAGTGTTGGGGCAGGGGGAGTGGAACAATTTATATGCAATTGTTTAGCCTCCTCTCCCCCAAATTATAATTCCTTAATTAGTGGTTATTAGTCATAAAAGTAGTATACTTCTGTTTATCACTTATAGTGGCTTGAAGTTGAGGATTTTGTACTATCGGTTCCTGTTGTTGGAATTTCACTCCTTCCTCTAAAGATCTGAATATATATTGAAAAGCCTGCTTCTGGTAGCTCAGCTGTTTGAACAAGGACAAATTCTGGGTTAACTGGTTGGGTCTTTATGTCGGACTGCTTGGATCGAAATCCCAACTCCATCATTTATTAACTGTATGGAGGCAGGCAAGTTACCTAACTTCTCTTTGCCTTGGTTTTCTCATCTTTTATGTGAGAATGATAATACCTTCCTCATCAGTTGCTGCAAGAATGTTAAATATTGTAATGTATGTAAAATGGGTAGCACAGTGACTGTCATGTAGTAAGTGTTCATTAAGTGTCAGCTATTATTACATCAATTTTCTTTAGTGTCAGACGTTGGCTGTAGAGTTTTGCTTATGGTATGCCTCTAGGAAACAGATAACATCTATAGATTCTGTTCTCTAGTATATTACTTTTTTCCCCCTGCAGATGACTTTACTAATTTTTGCTCATTAGTAAATGACACTAATAAGTATTATAAATTATGCCTGAGCAGATATTCATGCTCCTCAGGGAAAGCTGTGCAGAACTGATGATAAATTTAATTTGTTTGCAGCAAAGTCCAAGAGCAGATGCTATGGCACTAGTACCCCACTGTGAGGCCTTGCCTATCAACACATCTGCCAAGACTTGCTTTTCACTCAAAAATCCAAAAGGTTTCATCCTTCTATGTTTTCTGTCTCTGGCAGCTGAACCAGTGCTGTCACATCACAAACAACTTCTTTTCTTAATATACACATCTGGCGTTGGCAGTTGGACTAACTTCATAAGAGCACATGATCATCACTCATTACAAGATTAAAAAGTACCCTATGGCATCATTGATGTTTTTTAACTTTGATCTTTTGCAGTTGTGATTCATCTCGGTTATAAAACTTCCCTTTAAAGGAACATAGCCGATGACTTATTAGAACCTTCATCTTAAGTAGCGTAAACATGAAAATGGTACACATCTTTACAAAATGCCATTTATTTTCTTTGCCAGCTTATCATTTTAAGACATGACATCATACTTAAGATCCCAAATTTGTAAGTCTTGTGTTTAGGCAAGGCATTTTGACCTTCTGTTGGCAAGCTAGCTCTGAAGAACAACTGTCAGCCGGAGAAGTGGTGTAGCAGCAGCAGCAATAGTAATGCATTTAGATACCTAGCTCTTTGAAACATCGGTTTCTATTAGGATCCCTTGTTCCATCTGTGGACTTGGTTCCACCTCCAGTCTGATTTAAATAATTTCTACAGGAATGTGAAAACTTGGTTAGCAACATCATATTCTATAGAAGTGGTTCAGAGTTAGGGAAGAGGACTGATGGGAGAAGGTATTATTTGTTGTGCAGAGGATGGAAAAAGTAAATAAGCTTACATAGGATACTTTAAATTCTCTTGCTGTATTTTTTAGTTGTCTATTACTAAATAATAAACTACCCTCGAATATAACATCCAGTTTATTATTTCTTATGATTCTGTGGGTTGATTGGGGTTCATCTGGATGGTTTTTCTATTTGTCAGGCTTGGGGTCTATCATGTAGCTGCAATCAGATAGTGGCTGGTGCTGGAACATCCCACATGCTTCATTTATGTGTCTGATGCCTTGGTGGGATGGCTGCATGGTTGGGCTCAGCTGGAATGATGCAACAGCAGGCCCCACTGCATCTCTTTCCATATAATCCTGGATCCTCTTCCTCTCCACGTGGCCTCTCCATGTGGTCTTTCCCGCTGAGTCTGACTTCTCACATGGCGGCAGCTCAGGGCTCCCTAAGGTACAAAAGTGAGAGTTCTCAGGCCTTGCTTTTTTTTTTTTTTTTTTTTTTTTTTTTGAGATGAGGTCTTGCCCTGTCATCCAGGCTGGAGTACAGTGCCATGATCATAGCTAACTCCAACCTCAAACTCCTGGGCTCAAGTGATCCATCCTCTCACCTCAGCCTCCTGAGTAGCTGGGACTACAAGTAAGTGCCACTATACCTGGCTAATGTTTACATTTTTTGTAGAGATGGGGTCTCACTATGTTTCCTAGGCTGGTCTTGAACTCCTGGCCTCAAGTGATCCTCCTGCTTTGGCCTCCTGAGCAGCTGGAATTATAGGTGTGAGCCACTGCACCCAAGGATGTTGGGCCTTCTTAAGGATTAGGCTCAGAACTGGCATGGAATTGCTTCCTCTAGATTTGATTGGTTGAAGCAAGACACAGGTGCAGCCTGGATTTAAGGGAAAAAAACCACCAATGGTGTGAATGTTGGGGGATGTGGTTCATGACACCAATGTCATCAACTTACATAAGTGCTTAGCTGGCAGTTGTCATTGTCACAACAGGAAAAATAATTCTTTTCAAGGTGCCATCTTCTGAAAGGACTCTTGGCTTTTTCAATCTAGGGGACATTCAAAGAAAATACTCCAAATTTACTAGTCTAATCGTAGTGTCATTCTGAATTGAACAGATTTGGTAAATATCAGATGAATTAGTGGTGGGTATTCCCTTGTGGTGCTTGGTATTAGCAGATCACTACTCAAGTGAGAAGAACATTAGATGTTTGAACAAAAAGAAGTATGAGCCTTGCCCAGCAACATGACAAGTCTGTAGCAGAAATATCTTATGAATCCTCAGATGGTTAAGATTAGAGGTTTTTTTTCAATTTTTAAAATTTTTTTTCGAGATGGAGTGGCATGATCTTGATCTAGGCTCACTGCAACCTCCATCTTCCAGATTCAAGCAATTACCCTGCCTCAGCCTCCCAAATAGCTAGGATTACAGGTGTGTACCACCATGCCTGGCTAATTTTTATATTTTTAGTAGAGACGGGATTTTGCCATGTTGGCCGACTGATATCGACCTCCTGACCTCAGGTGATCTGCCCGCCTCGGCCTCCCAAAGTGCTGGGATTACAGGCGTGAGCCACTGCGCCTGGCCAAGATTAGAGGTTTTATACTTTGTATCATCCAACTTTGAAATTCTTGCTTGCTGGCACCTTGGCAAACCTACTGCCTGACACATGTGAGTGGGTTTCTAAAAATTTTTGTGTGTCGGGTCTCAGGTAGGTAAACCATATTTACTCTCAAGGAGAGACCAAAGCTGTGAATTGTGTACTTCCTGCCAGGGCACTGGCATTCACCACTGATCAGCCAGCCACCTGTCTCAACCTGGTGGGAAAAAGGAGAAGCTCTGCCTTTTTCCCTCCGGTGATCTAGCTCCTTTCTTGCAAGCTCAGAGTACATGGCTGCAACATTTCTCTGCTTGTCTTTGTGTGTAGCTTCAGTAAGGGTCTGGGGCTTAGGTTAGTGAGAGGTTATCTGGAAGTATAGGGTACTGTTGGTATTTCTAGGCTTGCCTTAGTATCCTGCTTCACTCAGCTTGTTAGGCTTAGGTCCTGCAGCTAAACTATTTTCTTTTCCTGTTTGCTTATTCTCAGTTGTGCCCAATTCATCAACAAATCTGTAATTGTTCAGAGAAGTTTTATTTCTCTGTATTTTTGAGGCATGTCCAATTGCAGAAGTTTTACCTTAACAAACTTGAGTGAACAGACTTAACGAAACAGGTGGTGTAGGCAAGACATCATCTCATTTTTCTCTTACGCTGTTCCACCTAGTTCTGGGACTGCTTTCCAGCCTGGTGAAGGGTGGAGAGAATGGAGGGGTTGACATTTTTCTCTTCCTCATTCCAGCTGATGTCAGCGGCAGCTCGCTTTTATCCTCCATTACTTTTCATCTTAGTTGGGTGAAGGAATAGACTTTTTATGCCAAAGGCTAGCCCATGACTTTTGCTTATTTACCAAAAGAGGATGCTTATTTTATTTTATTTTATTTCAGATGGAGTCTTGCTCTGTCTCCCAGGCTGGAGTGCAGTGGCGGGATCTCGGCTCACTGCAACCTCCACCTCCTGGGTTCAAGCGATTCTCCTGCCTCAGCCTCCTGAGTAGCTGGGATTACAAGTGTGTGCCACCACACCTGGCTAATTTTTTGTATTTTTAGTGGAGACGGGATTTCACCATGTTGGCCAGGCTGGTCTCAAACTCCTGACCTGGTGATTCACCCGCCTCAGCTTCCCAAAATGTTGGGATTATAGGTGTGAGCCACCGCGCCCGGCCCAGGAAGATGCTTATTTAGAGATTGGTCACATGTGAAATAAGGTGAGGGTACATGTAAAATATGTTGGATAGAGGGACAGCAGATGTATTTTTTAAGATTATTTGATTCTTCTGGACACAGTTCTTGCATTCACATTCTTGCAGTCTGTGAGGATGATTTGAAAAAACCTTGATAGCCTTTGTGCCATGCCCCAGATGCTGCAGGCCTGGGTTTTAGTCCTTAGCACAAAGCATTAGTAGAGAAGCCCTTAACTTCCTGACTTTCAGACTTCCCCTGGGTTCTTCACTGTCTCCGAAGTGCCCAAGGAATAGAATTTATGGGTAAATGCCATGTTTTGATATTTACAAGTTGGCAAATACAAGCAGCAATTTGATTGTCATAGATATTAATCACTTGGCTACCAGTATATAAAACATCGTTGAAAATCTTTAACTTAAGAGAATAATAACAGTAAGAAAACCCCACTGTTCTCTGTTTCCCTTTCTTCAAGAAGGATGAGGGGGGCGGGGGGATGGGTCAGAAGCGCTGGTGGAGGTTATGTCTGGTGGTTGGTGGAATGTGCTCTTGAGAAGACCAGTTTTAAATATCTTTCAGTCCTTTTTTTTTGTTGACTGGCTGTCAGGAGCTGGGAAGATAGCCAAGAAGGAAATGACACATCGAGAGGCATTTTGTGTTGTGCAACATTCTGTGGAACTGATGCAAGGATATATGGCCTGTTTACACATTCCTTCGCTCGCAGACTGCATGGCAGTAATTTAATTCAGCAGCACATGGCATGCTGCAGCAAGGAGCTATGGCATTAACATCCTTTCATGGCAAATTATCACAGCCGTTAAAACATGCTCGTGTCCCTCCTTTGCACTCTTCCCTGGCTTCCCAGCTCTGAATATGCGTTTTCATTGTATTGGACTTGTGTTAACAAGGTGCTGTAGCTTTCACAGCAAGAGCACAGTTTCCACATGCATATGTTCCAGTTGATATATTTACTTCTAACTAAATATAGCATGGCAAGTTTTCAAGTGATATGTGTTCTAAAAACACATACATGCTTGATCCAAATGTGTCAGTAGTTTGTATCTTAGTGTAAGTCAGAGATCATTCATTCTGAAAATAGTGTTAGGGACTTGACAGGGACTTGAGAGAAAGAGGTTCCCCTCCCCCCCTTTTTTTGTCTCTCTTTTTTTTTTTTTTAAATAATAATGACCTTTCGTTCTCAAGAAAGATAATTCCTGATAGATCACTGAAATATTCTGTTCACCTCTATTTTGTTTGTGCCATGGCAATTTCTTCAAGGAAGACTAGACCAGTGAATAGGACATACTTAAAAATAGCAGGGAAAAAAAAGATTTGTTGTATTGCTTTTCCCATTCATACCTGTCCATACCTAGCATTTTTATAGGATACATTTATGATGTCAACTAAAGAACATCTTTGGCCTTCACATAAAATCTCTAAAGTTTTTATTTAAGCAGGTATAAAAAATAATTAATTGCTCTTGTTTGTTCAAGTAATTTTGGAAATTAAGAAAAGGCATAAAAACCATTTAGGTCTAAAATATTAATTCAAGATCATATGTAACAGTTAAAATAAAAGACTGTGTTTGTAAGTAGCAAAGGAAGGGCTCCAGTTCTCATAATTTCTCTGCTACTGCACACTGGTGGTGAAAATCTATTTGTTGGAAGACCAAAACTCTTCATTAAAATTTAGGTTTAAGGCTTAAACCCAAGCACCCCTGGAAAAGGTAACTCAGACTTAAATTCTTATTAAGATAAAAACAAGTGACATAGAATCATTTTTTGGGAAGTAGGTTTTGGAAGATAGGGGAGGAGTGGTCAGTGAAATCCTGGGTACTAGAAAGTAAACAGTGAGTGGCAGTGTGCAGCAGGCAGGACCTTTGCCGGCCTTGAGGCCAGTGGTTGCCAACTTCAGGCATCACAGTTTTGCTGCAGGTCAACTGTAGCAATGAGCATTCCTGATGCTTTCCAGTTCTGATATACTCTTAAGAGTGCAAGATTTTGTTATTGAAAGGTGAGAGTTTTAGGGTTCTGTATTTCCATATCTCTCTCTTTTGCAAATGTTTTCCTTTCAGAGTATTCCTTTTCTGTTGTTCTAGATACATGCTAGCTTTCCTACTCTATTGGTTTGCAAGTTATCATTGAATGTGTTTCTTTTATTTTAGTATTATCTTTACCATTTTAATATGTATATTTGTCTTATTAAAATTAATCATGATCTCTGTCCATACAAGAACTTTAGCATTCTTTAAACTGCAGTCTCACCCCCTCTCTTCTAATGTCGTTATCTGATATTTTAGTAGATCCTTGTTTTATATTTCCTGGATTAGTCATTATCGGTGTTTAAAAAATGTTTATACTTGTATTTATCCATTATGTTTATTGATTCATTTGCTTATCATTCCTTCTTTCACCTTAGTTCTTCCTTTTAAGTTGAGTTTGCTTTTTTCTTGATGTAGATCCTTCAGTAATTCCTTCAATGAGAAACTGTTAGTGTGAAACTCTCAGAGAGTTTTTATTCCTGAAAATGTTAGCAGTTGTGTGTGTTAGCTGCTGCCAACATGCGGTGATGTGAGAGGCGTTCTGCTGAAAGCCTGTCTGCTTTGAGTGCCTGAGATCCACACTTCCAGTCATTCCTTTGTATTGAAACTTTCAGGTCATTATTATCAGGTTAGCTGGAGTAGTATTTAAGGAAATGGAACACAGGACAGATAATATTCATGAAAGATGGTGGAAGGGAAATGTTTCTAAGCTCCTGTCACTCTGGAGAACTCTGGAGAGGTCTAGGGTCAGTGAGTGGGGAGGAGGTCAGAGGGAATGTTCCTGCAGAGGAGAAAGCAAACGGGGAGGAAATTAAATCCCTTATTTTACACTTTTGCCATGGGCAGGCACTGAGTTGCTTTGGAACTTTTTATCCAAATTTATGTTAAAGAACTCCACCATTACACTTGCTCTGCAGAGGTCATGTGGCTGTTGCTCCCTGAGCAACCGGAGCAGGAATCCTTAGATATTGGTGTCCACACGTTTCTGTCATTTTGGTGAGAGTACAGGACTCAGAACCACAAGAGCTGTCTTTTGTAGGGTAAACGAATCAACGAATTAAGAAGAGGGAAGAAAATAATGTGTGGACTAGAGGAACATGGTTTAAAAGGGCCAGGAGACCACGATCTGGGGTGAGACTAGCTCTGGGCAAGGTGGATGGGGTGACTCCAGTGCTGGCTCGGTGTGTGTCTTCCTGGGGTTGTGCAGTAGTTGGCAGGTGGGGAAGACATCAGATGACACTGAAGCAAGCTGGTGCTTTCTGCCTTGCCGTGAACTCTCAGAATGCATATGCACCCTCCACAACATGCATTCTCATCTTCTCATTTACCTCCTTGGAGTTAAATTTTATGAGATACAATCTGGGTAAAAACGCTAGCATGTATTTTGGTTGCGGGGGATACTCAGGATGATTAATCTGGGCCTTATGCCTCCTTAGGATTGGCCCAGGAAATTATTAGTAGGCAAAGATGGGCCCTTCAAGGAGATGATGAAGGTACCAAATGCAGGTTGTTCTACAAGAAGTGAGGAGAAATATAGATGTGTAAAAAGAAGGGTGAGTGTGAAGTCTGGGTTACTAATTCTAGAGCTTTGGTTTCTGTTTCACCCCCTCACTGTTTACTCCAGCCTACAAAAACAAGTGACAATGTGTTTTCTACCATGAAGGCTATTTCAGAGTAGCTTAACAGGGAATTAATCTGTAAGGGTAGTTTGTGTTTAAGAGGTGGATTCCCTTATGGCTAAGGGGATTGGAGGACTCAGGAATTCTTCTTTTGAGACCTCATTGCCATCTTTGTGACCTTAAGCAAACCACTAAACTTTTCTCTACTTCTATTTCTTCATCTTTCAAATGGAAATAGACATGAAGGCAACTTCACAAAGTAGCTGGGAGTAACTCCTAAGGAATGATCATAAAGTACTTGGCACACATGAAGGGCAGCTTAAATACCAATTAGTAATTATGTAGCGCCTTTCTGCCAAGGAGTTCCAAATGCTTAGACATTACCTCAGTGATTCTCTGTACATCTCTCTGAGGGAGGCGTTATGCATTTTACACATAGGTAAACTGAGGCATGGACACCTGAGAACTCATTTGTCCTATGTTACTCTGCAAGTCAGCAGATGATTTATAGAGACAGGCAAGGATTCCAGATATTTTCCTGTTTATCCTGTTGCCGTTTGTCAAGTCTGTGTAAGTGTTGGGCCCAGGGGATTCTTGGTTGATGTGATGAAGCAGTGTTACATAAGAAGCATGCTTAATGCTGCAGTAGCATCGCTGAATAGTACAGAAGTCAAAGTTATAAGGCCTGGCACAGAGTGGGCATGCAGTTCATGGACATAGGCATGTTTGTTGAATGAGTATTGAATTCATTTTAACAGCTGAAAACACTGAATTTTGTGAGATGAAAATAATACATTGTATAACTTAACCTCAATAGAATCTTACTTTGAATACCAGTGAAATGAATTTAGTACTTAAAAAAAATTAACTTTAAAAAATTGCACAAGTGAAAAAATTGCACACTAGAAAATAAAAACTAATAATAACAAAGAAGAAGACAGAGATCACTCATAATTGCATCTCCCAAGATTACCACTACTAACATCGTGATGTGTATCTCCCAGATATTCTGTGATAGATAATGCTGGTACTGTTATGAAAGATAACAGAAGTTGGGGAAATAACATCAGGAAAATGATGGAATGCTACAGAATGGCATGACCACATTGAAGCTCAAAGGAGAGCGAATAACTGGAAATGAGGATAATTGCTGTAAGGAAAAGGAGCATGACAATAGAACCGACAATTGTTTCCAGTTAATGGCTGCCTCTGTGATGTGAAGGGCCTGTGCTGCCTGAATGATGTGGGACTAGATGGATCTGAGAAAGATCCGTTCCTCCCCCAACCCTGTCCCACCACTGAAAATACCATCTCCCTTTAAAATAGCTGACAGAGCCTTTTTTTTGGTGACAATTAGAGATGTGTTTTAAAATGTAAATATTTCCGGCATGGGAACATTTATTCATTCAAAAAATTACTTTTGAGTGCTTACTGTTAGCCAGGTGCCAGGCAGGCGTGATCCTCCCTTTGAGGAGCCTACATTCTGTAGAGAAAAAAGGCAAGAAACAAGTAAACAAACATTTCTCTATAATCACATCTAATTGCAAATTGTGATAAGTGCTGTAAAGGGAACTGATGTCATAGTAAAGAGTAATGGAGTGGGAGGGAACAGGATGGAACCTATTGAAGAGTGGTCCAAGGAAGGCCTGTCTGGGGAGATGACATCGGAGCACAGACCTAAAGGGTGAGAAGAAGCCAGTTTGAGGAAGAGTTGGGGGAAGAGACATCAAGGCAAAAGGTACATTGTGTGCAAACCTTGAACACAGTCAGTATCAGAATCTAATATCTAATTTTGCAAGGTGAGAGGGCATTAGCAATGCCTACATGGTTGGGAAGAGGTTGCAAAAAAAGTAGACTGGACTCACACACCCAAAAGTGGCTGTTTATAATTGTACCCAAGGCTGGTGTGGTGTAATTAGAGGAGCACAAAAGGACTCTTCATGTTCATCCCTCCTGGCCCCAAACCACTCTCTTATCATTCTCACCAGGTGCCTGAGATTCTTCTTCGAGTTAAGGCTTCGAGGACAGGATGTTCATAGATGTTATCTACAAAGGATAACACATTCTAAGCCATTTTTGGTGAACAACTTGGTTTAAATAAGTGAATCAAATCAGATTAGCTAGATACTTATTTTATAGCAGAGGACCACAAGACCCAAATTGGTAGGGAAAGCAGGTTGAGAAAGACCTTGAAGAGCTCTGGTGAGAAAAATCGAGTGGGAGGAGGTGGAGGGGGAATGGCTTGTCTGTAGCTGGGGCTCCGTAAGAATTCTGGGTCCCGAATAACATGTTTTCTTAGATGAAGAGCAATAGGAGTGGGCTTGTACTAAAAATAACCCAAACAAAGCTGTAGGCTACCTATATAAGTAGATTCTCTTAGGACTATGTATCATGCAGTAAAGCCTTGGCTTATGTGGACAATGAGAAGCAATCCCGAAGGTGATCTGGGTTTCAAAACATAAGAGCAACATGGAAAACTTCAGAATGTTTAGCGAAGAGCATTGATGATGATTAAAGGCTTGTAAAATTGAACCTATGAGGATAAGTTGAAAGACTTGGGATCGTTTAGCTTCAAGAAGAGGAGACTGAAAAATGACTTAATAACAGACTCAAAATTATGAGAGTTATTAAGCTATGTATGGTGACCAGCTGTTTTGTTTCTGGCAAGGTCAGAGAAAGAATAGGTTTCAAATGAATTAGGTTAGATTTAAAGAAGAACTTCTTGACTATAAGAATTGTTAAATAGTACAGGTTGCTGAAGGATGAGGGCTTGAATGGAGGGCTTTTCAAATACCTTCCATTTTAGTGATTCTCTGTGTGTTTATAAAGTGCAACAAAGTGCCACCTTTCTGCTTTCAAAATCAAAGGCATGATTTCTGTTTTCCATTATAATTCTGAAGCTCAGACTCGCAGAGGTTTGTGGACATAAATAATGAGGGTAATTTGTCTTGACTCTGTGGCCATTAGAATCTTTAATTGAGAAAAATATGACCAAAAAGAGAAACAGATCTGCCATATGATCAAAAAATTGTTACTGATAATCAGAATAGGTGCATTATTAATTTTGGACTGAGGGGGATAATGTTTTATTGTTAGAAAAACCCACGTTCATTTGATTTGTATATTCCAGATAGAAAAGGTAGGGGGCTTTATGAAATTGATTCATTTTTGTCTGTTCCTCCCTATGGGGAGAAATTAAAAACATTTCCAGGTGACACCAAAGTTCGTATAACCTGGAGCTTGAGTGATGCAATCCAAAAATCAACCTCAAGGAATTTATTGTCACAGGGAAGGAAACAGAGAGGAAATAGGCAGGATTTATTTCTGAAAACAGAAACCTTCATGCATTTAAAGACTGGCAGAGAAGTGAAGTTGAGCAGAGCAAGTCTGAGAAAGGCTGGCTGAACACACCATTCCTTTCAGCTTTGGAGCTGGAGCTGCAGGAAAGAAAGAGCCCTGTTTTCAGGGTTAACTTTTCTTGGAGAAGCCAAGCATCAGAGTTTGTATTTTTAAGTTTATTTTTTAATTCATTCTTTTGCTTATTAAATACCTGTCTGAGCAACTTTTGTAATAATTAATTAGTACACCTGCACATGGTTTGCTTTAAGCACTCACTGATAGCTCATTGATGAAACGATGAGAAACAAAGCATGTACACACACACACAGACACACACATGCACACGAGCACAGTGTTTTAGATGAGTTCTTGTTTTGAACTAAGTGCATACAATTTTCTCTAAGGGAAAAAAATAATCAAGAGACCAAAGAAACAGACTTCGAAACAGGTGACACAACAAGGAAGAAGGCTGAGTGGGTGTGGTGCCAGGCTAGGGGAAAGGAAAAATACTCAGAAAGCCTATTTTTCTTTCCTCCCAAAATAACTTGGGCTCCATGGCTCATTAAGAACATTTAGACCCTTAGCCACTACACTTTACCCTTCCAAAGCACCATCACTGGTGGAGAACCACCCACAGTTGAAGATGGGTCAGAAGTCACAACTTGCTTTCTTCCACTGCCCTCCTTTCTTCATTGTCCATGACATTTTCTTAGTGGTCCTTGGCACTTCTGATGTCCTTCTTATGATTTTTACATTTGGGTCTCCCCCACCCCTCCCCCCAAGATGATTTATTTTCAAACCTCTTCTAAAGATTTGTAAAAGCTACAGCTGTCTCTTCATGGGAAAAGCCAACCTAAAGGGGATTAGTGGCCCTCCTTTTTTGCTGTGAGGCCACAGGATTGATAGTGGGAAGGAAAATCAGCTGGAGAGAGGTTTGGTTTCCTCCTGTTGTTTATCTTTATAAAAAAGAACGCTCTTCTCAAACACGTTGCTATAGGAAAGGTCTCTTCATTACCTATGTGGGGACAGTGGAGGGCCAGTTCCATATTTTCTGCAGTAACTGAGGCTGGCTCTGTTTTCCTGAGGAATAAGCTGTGAAACTGAGGATATACTAGGTTATCTGAAGCAACAGAACACCCACTGGTATACCCACAAAAAGTGTTTGATTATCTGTTCTCCCCTGAGGACTTTACTTAAGACTTATAAACCAGTCTCCCTTTCCTTAAGAGGTACTGTGATAGAGACAGAGTGAGAGCTTTCAGTGGTCAGGGCTTTCTAGAAGGCTGGACACATGGCCATGATAATGCCTAAAGCACAATCAAGAAGGATGGAGGCTTTTATGAAGGTCTTGAGATTCAAAGGGAACAAAAGTGGATGGTTTGGAGAGTGTGTCAGTGAAGGTCCTGTGCTTTGATCATGTCTCAGGAGATTCCCCACATTGACTCTCTTTGGGTATTTATGAAAGTCTACATTGTTGGCACAGATCTGATATAGCAAGGAAATTTGCTGGGGCCAGGGATCCAAGAGTTTTTGGATTGTATAATTAGGAAAGCACTGATGGTCCAAAACGCAGGATGAACATTCATTTTATTTTTTACAGAACATATTTTTGTCCCCTTTCTGTATATTATATATTGGTTCTATATTTTGTGAGACCTGGTGCAGCAGTTCCTTGGTAGAGCCAAATAGCCTGAATGAAGAGAAGGAGAGATGCCTCTTCCTTTGCTTTCATTCTAGATTGTGTTGGAGCTATGCTGAGGATGGTGAATAGAGAAACTGATTGTAGTTAATTTGTCACCTCGTAGCCCAGTGGTAGCATTTGAATGGAAGTAAGTTAATGGAAAAGGACTTTGCAAGACATACCAGCCCCAACCACTCATTCTTGCTGAGGGTCAACCCACTGTCAGATATAGGTGGAGAAGCCCTTCTGTGGTATGGAGGCACCATTTCTTTATTCTCTTGTTAGGAAAACTGAAATATAAATAAATAAAAATTTGCAACTGAATTGGAAAAAATCTGACACTGAAGGATGAAATGTAGCTTTCGTAGCATGAGATTTGTGGCACAAACTGACCAGAGGAAGGAAATCTGATGATCTAGATAGATGCCTTTGGTTATTACCACTTTTGCTAAATGCCTCTCTGCTAAGAACTCAACAGGATGAGTCATCTCTTAGCTGTAAACAAAAACTTTTATGGGGAAGGGAGAAATCCTTGTGTTTGAAGGAATAGGTGGCATTTCCGGCTAATTTATAAATGTCTCCTTTCATTCCTTTCTAAATTGGGACAAATTGCTCCAAAAAGTCTATCAGAAGATTATGTATGTATGTAGGTATTTATCTATGTATGTGTGTGTGTATGTACTTTTGTTACAGCAATGAGGTCCTCCAGCTGAACCATAGCTGAGTTCTATTCCTACTTCTATTCCTGGTGCTATTTGGTCAGTTCTTAGAATGGATTTTGATAGTTTTCACTTCAGGAAAACACAGTCTCAGGCCGGGCATGCTGGCTCATGCCTGTAATCCCAGTACTTTGGGAGGCTGAGGCAGGTGGATCACTTGAGGTCAGGAGTTCGAGACCAGCCTTGCCAACATAGTGAAACCCCGTCTCTACTAAAAATATAAAAATTTGCTGGGCATGGTGGCAGGCGACTGTAGTCCCAACTACTTAGGAGGTTGAGGCAGGAGAATCGCTTGAACCTGGGAGGTGGAGGCTGCAGTGAGCCGAGATCGTGCCATTGCACTCCAGCCTGGGCGACAGTGAGACTTTGGGAAGAAAAAAAAGAAAAGAAAACATAGTCTCACCGTTCTCCTCCACATAAATGTGGCCAGGCTGTTGGAAAGCTCGTGGTTTAGAAATTATTTAAAACAACTGCGTTAGAAAATATTATTTGTACAATAGCATCTTAAATCCCAAGACCTCTATACAACTTACAAAGTAACTGTAGAAATTCAGGGAAATTCTTCTTTTTTAAGTTTTATTTCATTTTTAATTGACAAATAATTATATTCCAGTAAAATTCTAATGTTGATATTTAGATGCTTTTGTTCTTGGTGAGCTTGGTAATTAAAAGAAGGTAATTTTAGGAAAGAAAATCAGCTTTAATAACGTATCCATATTGTTTATTTCTACGTTAATTGAGCAAACATTTGCACCATGGCTGCTCTGTCCAGGGCTTTTGAGAATGCTAAGTGCTGCTGAAATAACTTTGAGAGTCTAACTTGAAAGGGCCTCCAGCAGAATTGAGTATAAACCCGAGATTAGCACCCGTAAAGGTCCATAAAGGGCTTAATTTGTAGTCCTTTTATTTATCTTTAGCACAGTGTGAAGTGTGATGGACTAGGGTGGAAGGTGAAGGAGCAAGGTAAAGAGAGACTCCCGTGACAATCAGCAATACGCCTTTAAGTTCATTGGGCTTTGCTTATCTTTACTAAGCCATCTTTTCTTCTTAGAGAAACTGCAATTATTATTGGTCACAAGAAATGAATATTCTCATGTACCTTACAGGATTTGTTTATCCTGTTAGTCTTTAATAGCATTGTAGATAAATGCCCTGCCATTGTAGAGAGGTAATCATACTTTTAGTTTTTGATAATTTAGATTATGTGGAAAAAATTCTGTTTTGGTGAAAATACGACATTGTTAGGACTAGTAACAAAAGCATATATATGATGCTCAGTGCTGCCAATTATTTCTTTTTACATTTGAAATAACATTTACTTAATTTAATTAGTATACAGGAAGATCTGTTGTAAACATTTCAGAAAATTCAGAAAGCATTGAAAAAAAGGTAAAAAGTCATTTGAAACTCAACACCAAAGATAATCTCAGTTAATATTTTGACATAATTCCTTTTACTACTTTTTCCTAAATGTATTTGTATGTATGAATATATATTCACATATACTTTTTATTTTATACATTTTTGCATTTTCTAAACTGATTTTATTTTTTAATTATTCAAAGGAATTGACTGACCTATACCCTGAGTCTTAATCGCAAAATGGTAAATCCTGTTCGATTAAAAATGAACATTTTGAAAATTGATTTACAAAAATTGGTATAAAATCTATTCCTTTAAAAACATTACAGCCCACTGCATTATTTTCTGATATGGTTGCCTGCCTCAGAAGACAACTCATATGAAGTGTACATTCTTCTCCTTGCTTTTCTTCTTGTCTCTTTTTTCCTTTTATCTCTGTTCTGTTTTATAGGTGCTCACAAGATGTTTGGTATGCTAATCGAATAAGAATATGCTATGTTGGGCACTCTAAGCATGCTTTGAGGGTCTCTTGGGTTTCCTCTTCAGACTTCCTCAAGGCTCCATCTCTTTATGTCATCTTTTGGAGTGGCTTATGTATACCTTAGCAAAGGATGCTCAGACCTGCCCTATGGGCTGGGTTTTCAGAAAATAATATATTCTGTATTTGCATAGCATACAAAGTTTGTAATAACATTGATGACTTCACAACAACTCTGTAAAGCAGACAGAGAAGATGCCCTTTTTCAAGTGATAAAGAAGGCTGGAGAAATTAGAGAACTTGCCCAGGATCACACATCTGTGTTGAACATTTCATATTTGAAATTGGTTAGTATGATTCAAATCAAATTCAAGTTGAAAAAAGGTTCCTGCTGTGAATTTGAAGAAAAATGTGTAAGATGTCACTATTTTACCACATCCAAAATAATTTCAGATTACTCTAACTAGAAGCTAGCCAATTTTTATATGCATTTTTTTGGGAGGAGGGGGCAAAAGTAAGTAGGAATCAGATACATGTGAAGAAAAAAAAATTCAAATCAATTTTGGGGGTTACATAGTTGTAGTTTTTGTTCTGAATTGCTCTGGTGGAGGATCAAAGAAAAGCAGAATTAATGGAGAAAAAGAGATATGTAGAAAAAAAGAAAACATTGCCTTTTTAGTGTAGCAGCTTGTTCATTACTAAGGATGGAAGGGAAAGGTAATGCTTAACCTTTCCCAACAGAAGAAGGCTGCAAGTCAGGGCAGGGATGGCTGAATCAGCAGGTAAGGTAGTTCTTTTTTCCTCCTGGACCATCTCCATAGGAGATAGGGTGACTGGAGAAGGGAAGGTGGAAGGAAGATCCCATGTCAGACAATGCTTTTTCCTATTTTTGGAATTCTAGAAACATGAAAGATGAGAGGATGTAGATTTGAAGACTCTAAAAATCCTGAAAAGTATAACATTTTCAGTTCATAAGTATATCTGGAAAAGAAGAAGCATTCTTCTTGGCACATGCTTTGCCTTAAGCTACTAAAAGTCTACCTGAAAATGCAATTTGAATTATTATTATTTTTTATTCAACGCTTGTAAAAACTAAAGCAGCCTTTCTAGTGTGACTTTTGACATCAAGGAGGCTAAGTGAAGTAGAGAAAAGTAGGAGACTAGGTTGGGGAGGCTGGCCCATAGAACAAAGTAGAAGAAATAAGCCAGGGCAATGGCAGCTTGGCTGATGAGAGCCTGGGACTGAGTGGAAAAACATAGAGGCCCAGTCAGCCATTGTGGTTAAAAGCTTTGTGAAAAGTGTGCAGAGGTGGCTCTAAAATGCATTTGTCTGGTTAATATGACAAGGAAGCTCACAGGCATATGAAGGTTTAACAGGCAATGAAGGCTCTCTGACAGTCTATATGGGATCTAATCAAATGCAATGATAAATTCTGGGATAGGATTTTTTTTTTTTTTTTGACAGAGTTTCACTCTTGTTGCCTAGCCTGGAGGCTGGAGTGCAATGGCGCGATCTCAGCTCACTGCAGCCTCCGCCTCCTGGGTTCAAGAGATTCTCCTGCCTCAGCCTCCTGAGTAGCTGGGATTACAGGTGCCTGCCACCATGCCTGGCTAATTTTTGTATTTTTAGTAGGGACGGGGTTTCCCCATGTTGGTCAGGCTGGTCTCAAACTCCCGACCTCAGGTGATCCACCCACCTCAGCCTCCCAAAGTGCTGGGATTACAGGCATGAGCCACCGTGCCCGGCTTGGGGTAGGAAATTAAAAACAAAAACAGTGCCAACTTTTAGGCAATGAAGAGTATTTGTTAAGCATCTTACATTCTTGATGAAACTACCTAGAGTCTGTGTTTCACTTTTGTAACATTGAGAAATCAGATAGAAATATTGGGTTACTAAGGAATCAGCTGTGACAATTTTGATAAACTATACATTTATTCCGTGTCACCAATGTGTTAACTGGCAAATACATTATGATCTCCTTCAGTTTCTAATCCTTTTTGCCAAGTAAATAAATTAAATCAACAATAAAATTTTGATTATTTTTCCTCTCTGGTATAAGACATTTCAGTAAAAATATATGAAAAATAAACTGCGAATGGAATCTTCCAGTTAGCTGAATGGACCTTTCAAGGTTCATATATTCATTCTACATAAAACTCATATGTAATAATCTGTGGCAGGAGGGAAAAAGTGGCTCTAAGTATGATCTGGAAACATACAGAACCTCTTGACTCCTTCAAATTCCTGAGGTGCTCTTTTGTTAATGTCTCTGGTTTCAGAGGGCAAATGTTATGGATGCAAAACCTCAAGGTCCACAATCTGTCCTCTTGGAAAAAACTTGCCAACAGAAATGCGTAGCTGTATTCTCTGTTTCTAAAACCTGACAGTAACCTGAAGCTTTGAGCCACTTGCCTTCTTCCTTCCCCTCTCCTGATTAATTTCCTTTTCCCTGTGTGTATGTGACATTAAGCAGCCCTTATTTCTGTCTGGATTTCTTGACATCCCATATTCTCTCTTTAGTCTCAACCCTTACTCTTCTTTCAGTTGAATTTACTTTAGCTTGGGTTCTTGCCATAAAGAACCCCAGAGCTTGACATGTTTATAGTTATTTGTACACATTCTTATGGTCACATACATCATGATCTTCCATTTTCAGTATCAAAAACCGTATTCCCACAGAGCAGAGATATAACAGTTAATTTTCTTTGTAAAAATCATAGAATTACCTAAAAATAACTGAATATACTTGAATTGCTGAATATACTTGAAATTCTGATCCTGCTTTTCTCTACGTTGCTCACATCAACCAGGCAGCCACAGTATTTACTGAGCACCTGCTGTGTGCCTACAAGTATGCCAGCTACACACAAGTTTGGAATATAAGGCACAAAGTTTTACTTTGGAAGAATTAAAATATGGTCCTGGAGATAGTGCTATAATTAATAAACAATTAGATGGCACTGTGTATTCAATTCGGCTATCACATGTTCATTCTTTCAACAAGTGTTTATTGAGCCCTGCCATATGACAGACATTCTTCTATGTGTTAGGAATATAGCCTTTAACAAAATGTACAAAATTGTTTCCCTCTTGGAACTTGTGTTCTATTGAAAGAGGGAGACAATAAGCAAACAAATGAATATATATAATATGCAAATATGCAGATAGTGATAAGTACTTTAAAGAAAAAAGAACCAGGGTAAGGGGACAGAGGGAGGGAGGTGGATGATTTTTCATGTAGGTCAGTCAGGCCTTGCTGATGGGGCAACATTTGAGCGGAGGCTTGAATTAAATAGGGAGCGAGCCATCTATCAATATCTAGGTAGCAGAATGTCAAGAGCAAAGGCATTGAGGCCCAGCTCTTTGGCATGGTTATGGGATAGCAAGCAGGCCAGTGTGGCTGCAGCAGAGTGAGTGAATGGGAAAGTGGTATGACATGAGGCCACAGAGATAGTTGGGGGCAGAGAATGGTGCGTGGAAGGCACAGATCAAGTAGGAGCTAGACCATGAGTTGGCCTTCAGGCTCTAGGTCAAATCTGGTGTGGTATTTAAAGTCATAGGACTGGAATAAATAATTTTAGATAGAGAAGAGGGCCAAGGACAGATCCCTGGGGGTAATTCTCAACATTGGAAATAGGGATTAGGAAGAGGAGCCAATGTGGGACCCTGAGTAGGTACAACCAGTGAGATAGGAAGAGTCCCAAAGAATGTGGTATTCAGGCAGCAAAGGACTCTGTTCAAGAAGAATGTCACCAACTGTGTCAAATTTTGCTGACCAAGGACTGTCATTGAGTTTGGCGGTGTGGAAGGCATTGATGATCTTGGCAAAAAAGATGTCAGTGCAAGGATAGATTCAAAAGATCATTTGTTGAAAATTAAGAGAAATGGAGGCTAGGAGGTGAGTACAATGAATTTAGAAAGTGAACACACTTTCAGGATGTTTAAAGGGAGCAGGGAAATGGGGCAGTAACCGGAAGGGGATATGGCATAATGGAGCTCTTGTGCTGAACTGTTAAGAACGAGTGACCCTTGAGCTGGGTTTGGTGGCATGCACCTGTAGTCCCATCTACTTGGGAGGCTGAGGCAGGAGGATCACTTGAGGCCAGGAGTTCGAGGCTGTCATGTGCTATGATTGCACTTGTTAATAGCCACTGCACTCCAGCCTGGGCAGTATAGCAAGACCCCAACTCTTAAAAAAAAAAGAGTGAGTGACCCTTGACAAACCACTTTGTCTCTCAGAGCCTTGGCATCTTCAGCAGAAAAATAGAAATATAATAACACCTACCTATAATGGTTATTTTAGAGGATAGTGTATAGTAAAATTTTGTCATTTGTAAAATGCAACATAAATGTAAAAGTCATACTATCCTTAGCGTGTAATAGAAATTTTGAAAGAAAGACAAGATCACTTGGAGGAAATTAGGTCCTGAAGAAAATGGTTATGATGGATTAGGTGGACTGAAGGCATGTGTTACAGGCACAGGGAAGGGAAAGACCAGGGAATGTGAAGAAGTAAGAACAGCTGGTTTGGAACAGAGGATGAATGTTGGGGAGAAGAGGAAAATCACATTGAATAGGTAGAATCAGGCTAATGATGCAGGGCTGTAAAAGCTATTCAGAAAAGTCTCAGTTAATGGAGCAGGCAGTAGGGTGGCCTCATGAACTCCCCAACAAGATAGTTGAAGGGAGGGCTTTGGATTGCCACCTGACAGGGAATTACAGGGACTGGATCCATTCTACCTCTGTCCACAGAAGTGCTCCAGTGTTGTGAAGCAACAGAGATATTTTGATTTGGTGGGGAAAACAAGAGGAACCAAATATACGGAAGACGTAGAAGGGAAGGGATGTATAGAGGCAAAGAAGCCAGCTGGAAAAGTACTCGCACAACCCCAGTGTGATGAGACCCAGGAAATATATATGCCATTTAAAGTCAGTATCAACATCATGGAGAAGGAAAGTGCAAAAGGAAGGAATGTCTTAAGATGGGGAAACACTCATGAAATGAGTCTGAAGTCAATCGACAAGAATATTAAGCACCTACTATGTACCATTGCTGTTCTTGGCACTAGTCTGGGCACTCTTCTAAGCTCTGTTCTAAGCATGGACTACAAACATGCTTAAGGGCAGGAAATGTGTGGGAGGAAGCCAAATAGTGATAGAATGAGGCTTACTATTTTTTTTTTTTGTTTTTTGAGGGATTAGGTCCATTAGATTTTGTATTTCTTCGGTGCCTACTACATAATTTGCTAAGTGAATTAATGATTTTTATTAAATGAATTATCGATATTAATTGGTTGCTGCAACTTTTTTTTAAATGTGATTTGACAATATAAATTACTAGCTTTAAAAATGTTCCCAGGGCAGCTGTGGCTAGAACACATGACCAGATTTGGCTTGTCCAGCTGCTAAAGAATTCTGTCAAATATAAGCCCCCCAGCCATTCGTGTGACCCTCATACAAACAAATAATAAAAAAGACATTCAGATAAATAAAGCAAAATGTACAGAGAAACCCTGATTAAAAATAAAGAGAGAAAAAAGAGGTTCCATTCCTGACAGTCTGCTTTAAGGAAATTGCCTTAAATACATGAAAGGATTTAGAATCAATGAGGTGCACTGCAGTTATTTATATCCATATGTTAAGCAACCCATGTTTCTACTTCTAATTCAGTGAAAGTGCTGCTTGGATCCTTTCCAGGGAAATAAGAAGGGGGCGGCATTGGTACTCCACCGTTTACTCAACATTAAGCTGATGGGGTATGACAGTTCTGCTATTGCTTCTCATTGACATCGATAGTCTTATAGGTCTTATGTGTATCTGTGGGAGGGATGTATAAGAAGACCACAGAACATTGTACCTGGAGATTTAGGTGAGAATAAACAGATACATGAATAAATGAGCTCTCAAACTGGCTGAAAACAAACCTTAAGCATGAAATAATGTGCTTACTAATTTCTGAACTGTAGTTTTGAATAATTCGTCAGGGCTAGGACTCTGGTTTTAATGATTTGTGTGGTGACAATATGCCACTATTCACAATAGAGTTTTTAAAACAGTATATTTGTAATTGATGTTGTTAAAATGACGGACTTGGGTTTGGGTTTTAAAGCACATGTTCAGTGGTTAAGATTAATTTCTAGCAATGGTTTTGGAGGTTGAAATCAAAGTGTGTACAAAAGTAAACAGTTCCCTTTCAGAGCAAATAATTTGAACTTGAATGAAACTTAAGCAAGTGAGCATCAATTGCAAGTTAATTTTGACATGGATGTCTGGAAGGCATCATCAATTACCACAGTGAGTCGTAGTGTAGTATTGTCCCTCTGTGCTCATGTGAGTAAAGGAACAAGTTGCTTGTCTAACCCCAGAGTTCTGCTGGCTGGGCAGAACCTGAGGCTGAAGTTGTCCCCATCTGGCCCTATGTGAAGGATGCATACAGTGGCACAGGCACCTTTACAGACCAGCAGCCACTTGGGTATCTGACCTGAAAGGAGCACATCGCAGGCAGTTTCTCTTTCTACCAAATATTGATCAATGACTTTTAAAAAGAAGGAGTCTTTACCAAATGGTTTAGTTCCTGGGTCACTTTTCTTTTTGGTCTTGTAAGCACAGGAAATAAAATACATGCTGATACTTTCCAATGGAAATAAAATGCATACCATTACTCTCCAACAGAAATAAAATCTTTCCATACAGAAACAAGAGGAAAAGTCTGTACAAGGAGGCATTTATATCATCCTCAGGCATATTAAAAACAGAATGAATTGACTAAGACATCAAATATTAAAGTAATGTTATAAGGTGGACCATATGCTAAATAGACTGCCATTAAGGCATTTTAGGTGACCTTATTATTCCAAAACAAGGAGATATTTTCTTTCTAGCTGGGGAGAAAAATTCTTTCCAACTTTAGTCTTTATTTCATTTGGTGTATGCTGGTTTTTTTCCTTTTGTCTTGCCAGTAGAACTAAAACTGATGGATTTTCTCAGTGTAAGTATGATAATGTAAAGCAAAGAAATCTATACAGCGATACTCAAATTTGTTTAAATGCTTTTTTTAAAAAAATGAATTCTCCCTCCTTTTATTTTTGTTCCCTTTTTCTTTCAGTTTACTTTTCCCTGGAAAGAATAGGGTATCTCAGTTTATTCATTATTCTGGGTCAGCTTTGAGACAGTACAGTGAGGGATTTGCATCCAGATCTTTACTTTGTCTTGGAAATACACATATTAATGGAAATGTTTCTATCTTCATTAATTTGTGAGATAAGACTAATTTGACAATGAGTTGGACTCATTGTGGACTGTGTTTGAAATTAGAAAAATGTTCACAACATCAGCCGGGCACGGTGGCTCACGCCTGTAATCCCAGCACATTGGGAGGCTGAGGCAGGTGAATCACGAGGTCAGGAGATCGAGACCATCCTGGTTAACACAGTGAAACCCCGTCCCTACTAAAAATACAAAAAATTAGCCAGGCGTGGTGGCAGGTGCCTGTAGTCCCAGCTACTCAGGAGGCTGAGGCAGGAGAATGGCGTGAACCCGGGAGGTGGAGCTTGCAGTGAGCCGAGATCACGCCCCTGCATTCCAGCCTGGGCGACAGAGCGAGACTCCGTCTAAAAAAAAAAAAAAATGTTTACAACATCAGAGACAGTTTGGCTCCTAAGTGATCATTTATTGGTTCTCTGTGTATCAGGGACTGTGTCTTTTCACCCTTATGTGCAAGGTCCCAGCCCAGTATCTGTCAGGTAGTAGTTAACAGTAAAGTTTTCAAATGAATAAGTGAACTGTTAATTGATTGCTAAACCCAAGACATTTATACCCTAAATATAAACTTTTTTTTTTCTTTTTAGTGATGATGGGCTAGAATGATGACATGAGAATAATGTAAAGTGAAATACAAGTCCTTTACTTCTTTTTGATAAGTGTCAGCATTCTAAAACTCTATCTACAGCGGCCCTTGGGTTGCATGAGCTGCTTCAAACCAGATTTTTCTATCTGTTGCTTTACTCTCTACAGAGCTGGAAAAACCAGCTTAGGTCAATGTCCGAGCATTATCCAAAACTCACTTTCTTACAGAAAACAAAGGAATTTCCTCTTTCAGAATCTGTATATGATTGAGCAGCTAGGTAGCCTGTTCATTCACTTTTCTCATTTTACCCTAATGAATATTTTCCTATCAGTCACATCAGAAGCTGTCATTTTCATAACCATAGGTATTTAACTGTGCCTTGGTAGGATTTAAGCTTTTTAAAGTTGTCTGGACAAACCCTCTGGTGGGTGTGAATCACAATATCTCTTGATGCACAGTGGGATTGTGGCAGCTGCTTAAGTGTCTGGAACATTTATCTATCATATGGCCAGTTCACTGCTTTCAAACACAAGGAAACTCTGGGAGTGGTGCTGATTCTTGAGTATATACAAGATTTGCCATCTTTTGAGCCTTATAAGAAAAAATGTTTATAAGCTGGGGAAATACTTTAGAATTTATATGTGACTCTTTCTTTTGTCTCTGCCATGGTTCCTTATAAATCACTCGGTGGCTCAGGGAGAGCAGTATGCTTCTGAAATAAGGTTACCTGCTTTTTGATGTATTTATAAGCCTTGGCCAATCCATCCATTTCTTGTAGGCATTCCATAGATACTCTGAAAACTCCAAGTTCCTGTTATAATCCCAGAGGATCTTTCAGAGACATTGCTCAGCAAGATCATCTAAGGGCAGTGAAATGGAAATATGACAACTCTTATTTCATCCTTCTGAAATATTAATCCTTCATGGTTAATTATATGATATTTTGAGGGTGTTCTGCCTGGATAATAAATATTATTGGTCAAGAGTCCTATTCTCAAAGGACTCTAATTTTAGTACTATGCATACCTTATATAATAAATATTAATATTTAATTAATCTGAACAAGTATAAACTTTTCAGTTAATTAAAAAGTGGCCTTGTCTAGTTGATATGGTCATATGGTCATATGATGTTTTAGAAATTTGCCTTCTGGTCTGTATCTGTAGGAACTTGATGAAAACTACTTAATTTTTCTGTTTTTATTTTTATTTTTTTCTTTTTGGTTTTTTTTTTTTAGACAAGATCTCATTTCAATTGCCCAGGCTGGAGTTCAGAAGTACAATTTTGGCTCACTGAAGCCTCTAGGCTCAGGTGATTCTCCCACCTCAGCCTCTTGAGTAGCTGGGACTACAGGCACATACCACCACGCCTGGCTAATTTTTTTTTTTTTTTGTATCTTTAGTGGAGACAGGGTTTCACCATGTTGCCCAGGCTGGTTTCGAACTGCTGGACGCAAGCAATACACCCACCTTGGCCTCTCAAATTTCTGGGATTATAGGCGTGAGCGACTGTACCCCGCCCTACTTCTTTTTTCTATGCCTTAGTTCCATGCCTGCTAAATTGCAGCAGTAGCTCTAATCTTGAGATGTTAAGAAAACTAAAAATAGGCCGAGTGCAGTGGCTCATGCCTGTAATCCCAGCACTTTGGGAAGCCGAGGCGGGCGGATCACTTGAGGCGGGGAGTTCGAGACCAACCTGGCCAACATGGTGAAATCCTATCTCTACTAAAAATACAAAAAAATTAGCCGAGTGTGGTGGGCGCCTGTAATCCTAGCTACTCAGGAGGCTGAGGCAGGAGAATCGCTTGAACCAGGGAGGCTGAGGTTGCAGTGAGCCGAGATCCCGCCATTGCACTCCAGCCTGGGCAACAAGAGTGAAACTCCGTCTTAAAAAAAAAAAGAAAACTAAAAATAATAACTAATATTATAAAGTATTTACGATAACCCTCTGAGGTACTAGTGTGATTTCAATTTAAATGTGAAGAAAAAAATGGGGAGAAGTTAGGTAGTGTGCCCAAGTCCTCAAACCCAGTGACCTGCAGAGTCAGGACTGGAATCCAGCATCAACATCCAAGCCTGAGCCCTTGCCAGGCTACAATACAGCTCCCAGTCTGGTTGTGTGATGATCTTTCAGGTCTCCAAGAAGGGTGGCCAGGATGGCATTGACATCTCTTCACAGGTGGCCTTGGTGAGAGACCTTCCAGTATTCTAATGCTGTGTAGTTTTTAGTAGGATTCCAGTAGGAGTACGTAATTTATCTTTTCCCCTCTTTCTGTCTCCTGGAGAGATAAATCCTATTTCCATTAAACAGATTTTTGTTAGGAATGCTTCATTTCTTAACCAGTGTAATTTGTATGCCTGAGTAGCTCATCATAGAACCTTAGAGTTGTAACAAAGGCTGCTTTGATTCAGTTCATTTATTCGACAGATAAGAAACTGACAAACAATTCCTGCAATGCTTTAATATTTATTTGGTCAGATTGTGCTAAAACATCCCTTTCCTTTCTTACTCTTTTGAGATGATATTTTATTTTTCTTGCTCCTAACCACCAAACTTCTGGAAAGAGTCACTTAGACTTGTCGCCTTCATTTCCTCATTGCCTACTCACGCTGAGCCTCCTGCAGTCTGGCTTCTGCTCCCACGGCTTGACTGTTGTCTTGAAGGTTGCTTAGCCATGGTCCATGCCTTACTCTGGCCGACTTTCAGTCCTCATGATCCTTGGCCTCTTTGCAGGTATAATCCTGTTGGTGACCCCTTCTGCCTCCATCCTTGGTCTCTTCCATATCATATTCTAATTTTCTCCTGCCTGTATGACTGGTCCTCTTTCTCTTTTGCTTTATCTTTTATTTATTTATTTATTTACTTTTATTTTTTGAGACGAAGTCTCCCTCTGTCGCTCAGGCTGGAGTGCAGTGGCGTGATCTCAGCTGACTGCAACCTCTGCCTCCCGGGTTCAAGCGATTCACCTACCTCAGCCTCCCAAGTAACTGGGACTACAGACGCACACCACCACACCTGGCTAATTTGTGTATTTTTAGTAGAGGTGGGGTTTCACTATGTTGGCCAGGCTGGTCTCGAACTCCTGACCTCAAGTGATCCACCTGCTTCGGCCTCCCAAAGTGTTGGGATTATAGGCATGAAACACTGCACCAGGCCTGCTTTATCTTTTAGAACCGCCACCCCCACCGCCCCCAGCCACTCATCTACCTCCTACAAGTGGACAAATGGACATTGCCAAAAGTTCTGACTTGGCTTTCCTTTCTTCCTGTTTCCTTGCTTGCTCATCAAAGACACTATCATGTGAGCAGTCACCTTGACTTAATGAACAACTCCCAAATCTTTATCTTTCATTCTAGCCGTCTTCAATGTCCCATCTCCCTTATGCCTAAAACTAATGCCACAAAATCCTTTTGATCTTTAAATAATATATCTCTGTAAAAACTAACCTTTCCTTACCTTAATATAGGGAATTGTAGTGATTACCAATTATTCTTCTAGCTACCAGCCTCTTTCTCCTTAAAGTTCTTTTCATGCAGTGCTGTAACTCAGTTTTCCTCGATCTCAGCTTTGATCATGTCAACCTGAGGCCTTCATGTTGTGAAACTCTCTGTGGTGCCCCACATGCTACTCAACCAAGTACAGGCTTCTCAGGCTGTTTCCCTATGCCCAGAATAACTTAGCCCAGTCTTATCATTACAACTGCAGTCACTTTCTTACACACATTTTAGCCCCGTACTTCTCAAATGTATTAGGGCCAACACCTCCTTTTTGTAACGAATACTCAATAATCTCTCTTTACTATCCTCAATGAAATCTGTAGATTTTCTAAATATATCCACACAATTTCTGAAAGATCACTCTGATGCCATTACCATAGTATAAAAGAAAAATAAAGGAACCTAATTTAAAACAAAATTATATTCATATATTTTAATATCTAAATACTTAGAGAACATGCTAGAAAACACAATGAACTAGCCAGCTTCTTGAACATGTGTAAAACCACCTTGAATATGACAGCTACAAATCAAGATTGATGCAGGTGCATATTAGTAACTCAAACACTAAGAATGATGTTACTGTTAGCGAAGATTTTCTGAAATGTAGAGCAACTCTTGTTGAAGCTCCTAATGAAACAAAATATGCTTTGTCTTTGGTTTCTAGATGGTTTTATTCCTAGAAAACCCAATGTGTTAAAACTTTAGGGAAAAAAATCCCTTTATATTTAAGTAGAACTAGGTTCTAGGCTCAGGTAATTATAACCAGATTTTTTTTCACCTACTTGAATGTCTGGTGTATGTCCCAAAAGTCATGAGGAATGTGGAAAAACTTTTCATTCTGTAGGACTGTCCCATTGCAGGACAACTGGCATCATTAGCCTATGCCCACCAGATTACAGCTGCACACCCCCAATCATGTAACAATCAAAACTGCCTCCACATATTTCCCAAACTCCCAAGGAGTTTGTACTACCTGAGCTGAGAACCACTGCTTTAGCCAAACTGCTCTCACTGTTGGTGAACATGCCTTGCCTTTTCCCAATTGCACATCTCTTTTCATGTGGCACCTTTTGATTTGAATATATTTCTTTCATTTCTGCCTTTTGAAATTTTATCTCTTTAGCTTGAATGGCATACACCCCATTAAATTTTCCTTCAGTCTAAAATTTTGCAGCATCCAGATGTGGCACTTAGAATTCTTAAAACATACTGCTTCATGTTAGTTATTTGTGTACAGCTATTACCTACCAGCTTGTAAGGTCCTTGGGGATATAGACCCTTTATGTTATTTACATGTTATAAGAGGTTATATTCCCCAGTGTTTCTATTAATAGCAAAGTGTCTTGCACATAGTAGGTGCCCAGTGAATGTTTATCGGGTAAATGAATGGTTAATTTTAAAAGAATATTTGTAAAGAAAAAAGAAAAGGTTGGTTTTTATTTTAACATTTAAAACTTACTTTTGTTTTTATAACATTTACATTTTATCCTCATGTCATAAACTTCTAATAGTACAAAATAATATCAGAAAAGCACATAGCCTATAGGCCTATGGTTTGGTCTGTACACATACTTATGAATATGTGTCCACTGGAATTATTATTAAAGATAAGATCATTCTCTACACATAGCAAGAACCAGCATTCAAACACTGTAGAGAAAATACGGAGAAAGTGCTTCTTTTTCATTCAATTCTGAAATGTACAGATCAAATCAACTTGTGAAGTCAATTGGGATGCCTGTACAATTTCCCTGTTTTCTCCCTTTATTCAAAAACCTCAAAACCACTATGGGTAATTCCCTCAAGATCTCCTTCTAACACATAGAGTCTAAAGAGTAAGCGAGATTTCCAAGAACTGAAAGCTTTCAACTTTTTTGAGTATCCCTCTCCAATGACATGAGCTAGGAAAGCCCAGTGCTCACTCCACCCACCTTTCATCTCTAACTAGAGGAGCATCAAGCATTTGTGCAGTCTTTCCTGCCATGGCTTCATTTTCTGTCATCTTAACTCCGTCACGAACCCTCAGCCTCCTAACAATATCCATATGAAAGAAATCAGACCCCTTTGACAATGAAAAACACATTTAAGCTACTGCACACACTATCGCCACTGGAAAAGTAGATATTTTTTCTGCCAATCCAACTGCAGTACTCTGGCAATGTGTAGTTTTCATGGTTGTGTTTTCATTTATTAAATAATTAGTCGAACCATAGGTGCTAATCAACAAAAGTTCGTTACTATTTACAAGAAGAAACTTAACAGCTCTTTGTTTATAATTTTTTCTGAAGTAGGAAGTATTTGTCTTTGAATGTAGAGACCATGTAAAGTGATCCAAGAAAATGATATGGCCAAATGACATGATTAATTTTCATTACTTTCTTTCCATCTCTTGCCTCAGATGCATTTGAGCCTCGCCCAGAGCCCAGCTTGATAGAAAAATGCCAGACTTGGGTTGAATCAGTCAATTAAAAACCAGCTCTTCTTGTAGTTTGAGAGACACAATGGAGTATAAAGATGTACTCTGCCTTCAAGGATTTTACGTAGAACTGGGAAGTTAAGCATCTGCCAGAGGAGATTACAAAGAAGTGTATGATAAATGTCACATGAGTGATACAGACAAGAGTACCACAGATTTGGGGGATGAGATCACTGTGGACCCTGATACTCAGAAAAAGCAACCTGGCCTCCATGTGAGTCCAAGATTGTCTTTTGATCAGATTGTCCTTTCTTTGGTACCGGAAATACTTCTCCTGGTCTCTATGAGGTTTTCCCTTGGGACTCAGAAACTGTGCCTTTTTGTAGCACCATGATTGGGCATTAAAATGTCTCACTAACAGGCCTGTTTCCCCTTGTAATATATTTCTCTGAAGACATGCCTCAAACTCTTGTAGCTCTTATACTTGTTAGCTCAAGACTCTGGCGAGTCCTGTGGCTTTTGTGAGGGCAAAAAAGTTTCCATAGAAATTAAACTGATTCATTTTAACCCATTTCCTCTACCACTCTGTCCCAGAGAAATTGGCTTAGACTTTGTGGATTCAAGGCCCCAAATTTGAGATTTGACAAAAGCTTACATAATAATGGCATTGTGGGAATAATAACGGTATAGCTTTTCAGTTTTGCTAGTTAGAGCCAAGATGATAGAAAGCCAACCCAGGAGCCATCTTGGGACGTGGACACTTGGGGGTTGGGAATGGGGGTGGAAAATTACTACTGCATTTTTTCCCATTCTTTTTAGCAAAGGTGCCTCAACTTTTAAATTTGATAAAGTGATTTCCACTCATTGATGTCACCAGATTTGTTACATTAAAAAGTAGGTCCAGAACAAATAAGTTCCTGGTTGTAAGGAGTGTGTATGACTTCCTAACAAAGTGCTAGCGTTTGGGAGATATTTATGGATATAAGTCAGGGAATCATCCTCTTTCTAAGTTCCTGAAAAGCAGGGTGTTTTGTGCATATTTTTTCCTGTGCATGTAGAACTCAAGTGGTACCTACATCCCTCGCCCCAGACATTTTCTTTCTTTCTTTTTTTTTTTTTTTGAGATGGAGTCTCGCTGTGTCGCCCAGGCTGGAGTGTGGTGGCGCGATCTCGGCTCACTGCAAGCTCCGCCTCCCAGGTTCATGCCATTCTCCTGCCTCAGCCTCCCCAGCAGCTGGGACTACAGGCGCCCACCACCACGCCCAGCTAATTTTTTGTATTTTTAATAGAGATGGGGTTTCACCTTGTTAGCCAGGATGGTCTTGATCTCCTGACCTCGTCCTCCTCGGCCTCCCAAAGTGCTGGGATTACAGGCGTGAGCCACCGCTGCCCGGCCAACATTTTCAAAGCTATTTAAATAGGATAATCATGAAGACAGTGTCCTATTATTCCATCAAAATCGGAAGTTAGGTATTGTCTATTAATGGTTAATTTCTCAGATTTACCTTCCTTTTCTCTATTAAGCGCTGAGTTTTTCCTTTGAAGGGCATATAGTAGAGGCTGGTCTTTTTTCTTTGATAGAGCCCTGTTTTTGTTTTACTGTTTTAACCAGTATACTATTAAAGTTAAACTTTGATACTGCTTATGCTTTAAGAAAATAAATCTGATGAATGAAGGTAAGTGGGTTCTTGGTTCTTCTTTTTTTTAATTTAAGAAAATTAACTGAAGCTTGTTTGATAGTAATTCTCATGCACGACTAGGCCATTTTTTAATTGTTTCTGTTTTTAAGAAATTTCAAGATTTTTAGTTTATTTTTTATCTAAATAGTCCCCTGGATTGTTAAAAACAAAATAGCCTTAGTGCTGCCTGGTGCAAAAACTAGATGTAAAGGTATTACTGGAAAGGAAAGTGAGCAGAGGGCTTTCTCTACCCAATAAGTAAGCAGACATCAGAAACGGATAGCAAAAGTGAGAAACAAAATTTAAGTCTGGGTGTCAGGAACAAAGGCAAAGTTTCAGTCAGATGTATATGATGTTGGAATTACATTCCCCTCTCCCCCAGAAAGAACATCCTTAGGTTTTCTCCCATTCTGCCAAATATTCCCTCCTAGGCTTTCGATATGTTCTGCAGGCCACACACACAGGAGCGGGGCTGTCTGTCACTGAACCCAGATGCCCAGCTGTGGAAGATATTCTTTCAGCAGCATCCGTCTGTTTCTTGGCAGGACTTTTAGGCAGTCTAAAGAAAACAGTCCCGGAGCAGCCTTTGGGCCTGCCTTGTGGTTAATACTGTGCTGGCTTGTATCTGGTTCCTGCTCTGACCCTGTGGCCTGGACACTGCTTTCCTTATAGTCTTTGTCTCTGTCTCTCTCTTTTAAAGAGTATTCGTGATTTTGGTTCGATTTAGTGAAACACCCGTGGACATCTAGAGAAACTGTAATTTTTTTTGCTTGTTTCTGTATTGATTCAAAGAGAGGTGGGTGGGTATTAGAAAGCAAAGATCTTATGGGAGGAAAAGGGTATCTTTCTGCAATGGGCCAAGTATGTTGGCAAAATAAAAGCCTGTTTTCACCAGTTCATTTTCAAGCTCAATAATCTTTAGTCGTCTGAAAGGGAGAACCAGTTCATTTCATACCCAGCTAGTGTAATAAAATTGAGATTCAGGGGCAACCTGGTGTGAGTTAGCATATTTTGTTCTTAAGGGAATATTCTTAGGCTTAAAGGGTGGTCTTCTTTGAAAGAACTATTTAATAGTTGTATTCCTTGGTTTAAATCTTTATTTATACAGCATTTGTGTTGTTCAGCCTTTGCGCTGAAGGGATTTTATTTTCCTATTCTCTTGATTATTTTAAGGTTAGCAGTTGAATGTTGCTAGAATTTACACAAGGGAGTGGTTCCCCACACCCCCCAGCTCCACCCTCCCCCATTCCTCCCACCTGCCAATTGTGTCTGAAGTAATTTCCCAGCAGTGCTGTTGACTTTGGGAGATGTAGTATTTCCAGTTCGTGTGTATGTGCGCGTGTATGTGTGTTTGTGTGTATGTTTGCCTTAATATCTAACTGATAATAAGTTGTTACTTAACTTGGAAGATGGACACATCTCTCTCCTTTTCTTTGACCCACTCTGAGAATTAACATGTGGTACTCAAAGGTGGGGGAGCGGTGGCGGCGGTGTTGCCTTATGCTTGACGACAGGTGCTAATCTTCAAGGAAATTTACCTTACATTCCACCCATTAAGGGTATGGTACATAAAAATGGCTTAATGTCTCTTTGAAGGTGTCAGCAGGCATGTGTGGACCACACAGAATGGGTTTCACTGAAAGTAATAGAGTGAAATTGTCTGCATAATTATTTTCGTTGGATTGAGAATCAGCAGCCCTCTTTGGGTTCAGGAAATAAACCTCTGTTAAAACCATATGGCACTATTCTCAGAAGAGATGTTATTACAGGGCCACTTCCCTCTGAAATTTTGAGTCAGGAGTTCTTGAAAGGAGTCACATATGTGGGAATGAATGTCAAGTTTTCTTCCTCGGTCATAGTTGTGAAAGTTAGATGTTTTCTTTCCGTTTTCACAAATGCCACCATGGTCACCAGGTCCTGGAAAGAAGCAGGCTCAGCTGCCGCAGCACCGCCACTTCAGGTGTAAATGTCTGAATTATTATCTGCGCCAAATGATTTTGTCTTTAAAAGAAAAGAAAAATTGCCCTTAATCCAGTGAAATATGATTTGTCAACCCTGAAAACACATCTTAAGGTCAGGTTAATTGCATTCTGTCTGTCCAAACCCTTAGTGCAGATTTAGTTGGCTTTTCTGTTTTCTTTTTTTTTTTTTCCCTTTGCCCAGCATCAGGGGCTATAAAACTTTCTCTGAACTAATTTGTCACAGTGCTATTGTGCCCTAGAGATAGGTATAGTAGAGTAAAAGGTAAAGTGAATAAAAGTTTAGTTTGTATAATGGCTAGGGAATATTTGGGAATAAACTAAGTTAGGAAAAGATATTAAACAATGGCCACCATATTTTTATGTTTTATATATGTGTGTGTGTGTGTGTGTGTGTGTGTGTGTGTATTTCAGTAGACAATACAATGTGTGCATTGTGAGAAATCATTGTGGATTTTATCTTTTTTTTTGAGAGGAGTGGGCAGTCTTCCTGGTTAGTCTTTGCTGTAGAAGAAATATAAACAAACCATCGATGTTTGTTCACATCTGTTAATAAGCCTGGGATCTTATCAGAGTCTGTAGAGTTTAGTCTGGCTGTTGGTAATGCTGGGGAGTTGAAATGTCCCTTTGAGCATCAGACTCTCGGGGAGTACTTAATAGATGTTGAGTCCAGCTTTTCATTTCTTATCCTAGAGGAAGAAGGCAAAATAATCTATGACTGTGAATGGTTGAGATGGCTTTTTCTATTGCCTTATTTGTTTTTGTAGTGAGAGCTGCTTTTATTAAGTAGAATGGTTGCTAGCACATAGAACCTTTGGTCACTGAATCACACTCTGAATTCAATAATTTATTTATTCAACAAACACTTACTGGGTACCTACCATAGGCACTTTAAGAAAGGGCTGTGGGAATTCAGAGATGATGACTGAGTTCTGACCCATCTCTGGCCCATCACATGGGCTAGAAAGAAGCTTAATCTCCGGGTGTGGTGGCACGTGCCTGTAATCCCAGCTACTGAGGAGGCTGAGGCAGGAGAGTCGCTTGAACCTGGGAGGTGGAGGCTGCAATGAGCCAAGATTGCACCACTGCACTCCAGCCTGGGCGACAGAGTAAGACTCCATCTTAAAAAAAAAAAAAAAAAAGAAGCTTAATCTGTTTTAGGAGATAAGACATGGGTATTAATAACTATGATTATGTGACAGAAAGTGATAGAACATGAGAAAGGGCATAAGAAAGTGGCAACTGGAGTGACATGGAAGTTCAGAAACATTTTTACTTCTATTTGAGGGTGGAGGGGAGGTTTTATTGAAGTCAAGGCGTTTGAGCTGAATCTTGAAGATTAGAAATTAGACTTATTGGCAGAAATTCTTGGTTATAAAATTCTAGGTAGATAGATGATGACTTTTAGGAGACTAACACTATATGTCTTTCACTGTCTTATCCCTGGCTCCATGTGCAGGTATACTGATGGAAGGTATGGCATGGAGATATAATATCACATGCCTTAGTGCTTTAGCTTAGGTGGTTCCTTCCACCTCAGTGGTGATCTGCTCTATTAATCTAGGGCCTATTCAACATTCAGAGCTAATTTTAAATGCCACTTTCTCTAGTATTTTAACAATTCTGTCATTTTTTAGTTCTGTATTTATTGATCTCCCCTACTAGAGCTGTACCACTACAATATGATAACGTTTTGCACATTCTAGATATTCAACTGATATGATTCAGTTGAACAAAGTAGATCAGGTATCTGAATTAGTCTTTTAAATACATATTGAAGTTTGTTTTCAGATTAGTGTTAAGGAATAACAATTTATACGGTGAACTGGTACATAAAATTATAGCCCTAGGGCCTGATCTTGAAATACTAGAAAATAAGCCCATTACAAAACGATGATAATCATGTTTTTTCAAGGGACATTCTAAATTGTTCTAGATTTTAGCAACCTCTGGTGTTCTGTTTTTTATAGGGAAAAGTAAGAGGTCCAAAAATCTTCAGGCCAACTTGGTGGCTCAGACTTTCTTTCTCAAGCCCTTTTATATGTGTTTATTAGTTAAGTTTGCAGCTCTATAAATGATATCATTTGTACTAGTTGCATTGGATCCCTGCCATTTCTCCATCCATAACAGATGGATTCTGTTCTTCCATTCCACTATACGTTGCTCAGGGTTTGTTACTTTCTGATAGACAACAGAAATGAGAATGCAGAAATGGGATGGAAAAGAGGGAGTGAGTCTGTTTTATTTTGTTTCCATATTTCTCCTAAGCTTACTGGAGTGGCAAATGGTAGGATAAGTGGTCAGCTATACTGCCCCATGAGATTCAAGGAGCCTTTGGGGAGGAAGGACCTTGCTCAGAAGATAGGCTGGGGAGGATGGTTAATTTTGGAGATTTTTGTTGTTGCTTCATGTTTTCTTTTGATTTCCCTCATCTTTGATGCTGACTCTGATGTTGGCTTTCCCTATATAATATTTGGACGAGAACAAATTTTGCCTACTCTCTGGCCTGTGCAAGTGACACATACAGAGCCATTGTCTGACTTGTGACTTGGCCCAGAAAGGGCTGATTGTCATGCAGTTGGGAGGGCTTTTAGACTGGGTAAAAAATTCTCCCATTTGTTTAAAATAACATGACTAAGATTGAACTCAGAAGACACTGTGCATGCATTTCTTTTCAAATTAGTGTTAAGAAATAAAAGTTTATACTGCGACCTGGTATATAAAATTATAGACCAGTCTAGGGCTCCATTTTGAAATATTAGAAAATAATACATCTTTGTATAAGAATACCTCTAATAGTATTTAGACATTTTTCCCTTCTAAATCTATCTTTCCCTTTAAATAATGAATATCATTAGAGGTATTCTTATGCAAGGATGTACAGGAAGCATTTAGAAATATGAATCTGAAGCTTGGTAGAAACTGGAAATGCATTTTCCATAGTCATAGGAACTTGAAGCCATTGGGATTGATGAGGCTGCATGAGGAATGGGTATGGAATGAATGAAGGAGAGTTATCCTTTTTACCATTGTGACCTAACTTTGTGTCCCTTGCCTGGACACAGACAAAGGTTCTCTTGCTAAGCTCCCCTGGGTCCCTGAAGCAGCAGAAGAGCAGATTCAGAACCGTTTCAGTGGCCACTGCATGGGTTGTCTCCGCCACTGGCTCCTCATCTTTCTCTTTCCTAGATCACTTTTTGTGTTCCTCTTCCTTGCCTAGCCACCCTAGGAGTGTTTGCTTCTCAGGGTTCCCTTTTAGACACTTTTCTCCACTCGTTCTGTACCCATTCCCTGAGTGTCCTCATTGACACTATTAACTTCGTGTTCCCATGACCACTGAAAATGCATCTTCAGTCTCTTCTGAACTTCAGACTGGTATTTCTAGGTTGCTTCCTGGGTGTCTGCACCTGAATATGTCCCATGGGTACTTCAAACTCATGGCCAACACAGCGTTAGGGATTCCCCACCTCTACTTCAACCAAACTTCTCTGCCCAAACATGAACCTCCTCCAGTTTTACCAGTTTTGAGTGCCCTACAGTTCACCCAGGTGACCAAACCAGAAACCTGAGACTCACCTTCTCTGCCTTACTTCTGACATCTAATTATTCCACTGTACTGTTGTCTGTACCTCTATTCTATGTCTCACATTCACTCCCTCAAATCTTTTAGTGCTGATTTAGCTTAGTATACTCTCTCAGTGTTTATCTTCTGACTTATAACGTAAAAACAATTTCCTAACTGGTTTTATGTCTCTAACTGCACTCCCTTCTAAATCTATCTTCCCCTGTAAGTAAAGCAATCTTCCTAAACTGTAAACCAATGCATGGCACACCCTTGCTTAAAATACTTCAGTGTCTCCCTGTTATTTGCAGGATGAAGTTCAGACTTGGTGGCACACTGACAAGGCCCTTCAGCATCTGCTCTGCCCAACTGCCTTCCACCCACACACCTGTGGCTGAGCTCCAGCGATGCCAAATTGCTTCACTCTATACTTTCTCATCTCGGTGTCTTTGCACCTGCTGTTCCTTCTGGTTGGAATGTTATCTTCTTCTGCATTTGCTTGACTAAATTCTACTCATTCTTTAAGTCTACTCAAACGCTGTCTCCTCTGGGAGCCCTTCCTGACTGCTCTTGAAAGTCAAGTATTTAATCTTTGGCTCCTCTTTGGTTTCCTTTTCATACTTTAATTATATTATTTATCACACTGCTGTAATTATTTGTTTTTATGATGCCTCCAGTATACCGTGAGCACCCTAGTTTAGCATAGTTCATGAAACATAATAATGCTTAGGATATTTTAATTGATAAGTGAAGATTACATTTGCATAGTGGTTTTACCTGTGTAGGACATTTTCACCTCTTATTACATTTTGTCCTGACGACATCCCTGTGTTGTAGATACTTTGTTTTTTTCTGACAGATGAGGAAGTTGAGTCATAGGAGGAAATTGAATCATAGAGATGATAGATATTTGCCTACAGCCTCACAACTAACTTAGTAGCAGAGCTAGGAATAGACTCCCAAGTTTTCCTGCTCCTTGTATAGTCAGGCCCAGAATTAGAAATGAGATTCTCCTTTTTAATCAGACACTGCCTTGGTCTTTTAACTATTCCATTAAGTTCACTAATTGTGTGTAAATGTGTGTGTGTGTGTGTGTGTGTGTATTTGTGGAACTCATAGTGACAGGTGAGGAATCCATAGCTTTATTGATTCTTAGGATTGCAAATTAGGTCACCTGTTATTTTACAGATGAGAAAATTCTGTACCTGAGAAGTTCACACTTGCTATTAGTAGCAGAACCCATGTCTCCTTTCAGTCACATGTTCTCTTTCATACTGCATTTTGGGCAGTCATCAATTCCATAGGACAGACTTTTTTTTTCTTTTCTTTTCTTTTCTTTTTATTTTAAGATGGAGTCTCTCTGTCGCCCAGGCTGGAGTGCAGTGGCACCATCTCGGCTCACTGCAACCTCCACCTCCTGGGTTCAAGCTGTTCTCCTGCCTCAGCCTCCAGAGTAGCTGAGATTAAGGTGCACGCAATAGGACAGACTTTCTGTGTTGAATTGCAAGGGTTGTTAGTAGGATTTGTTGAGACATTAGGCAAGTTAAATCTTGAGAAGAGCCCATCCTCTGAGCAGAAAGAATGCCATTCCTGAGAACATTCTCAATGAAAGGTCCATGAAAGAGATAGGACCCAGAAGAGAAAGAATTAAATGATAATATTCTTTCAGGGATTATCCCATTCTTCCAGATTGCATTACTTCTTTTCCAGTGAGCTTCATAGGTTCTTCGGTATGTATCATTTTGAACTAAAATGAAGGCATCTAATTAGGCTGAAGGATGAGAACTTCCTATTGCAAAGAAAGGTACGTTTCTATTGCAAAGAAAGGTATGCTTGTGATCAGAAGTGTTTGTGATGTCATGGGGCAGAGTATAAAGCATGTGGGGCCTTGAGAGGACGGTATCCCTAATTACCTGGATAGAGACATGGAACTAATGTTAGTAGTAACGCTGTTCCTCTGGCTGGATTATTCCTCTCTGTACACATAGGTATGCATATAATAGAGATAATATAAATTTATAACCACATATATGTACGTATATGTGGAAAAGGGAATATATTTCATATGGACCAAAGAAAAACATTTTGCCAAACTGTCATTATTGATTAAATAATTCAGCATGAAGCCAGCAGGCAGATATCCACAAAACTTAACACTACACTTGCTTTTGAAAAACAAAAAAAGGTTTTAAATGTAATCGCTCGAAGGATGTTTTTTAATATTAACCCACACCAACCTGCTTCCTTTGGCTTGAGAATAATACACTTTAAAAAAATCTGTTGTGCCTTGAAAAGAAGAGTAAAACTTGCTATCTTCTAACTCCATTTAACACTACATTTGATTCCTTTTTATATAACGATAACTTGATCCTACTCAAAATACTTGGCACCTTTAGTGACAGAGTGGCATGTAAGAACACTTTAACAGATTTGAATGTGAGTAAACTCCAGTAGTTCTGAAATGAAGAGGTAGAGTTTTCAGTTCCTTATTCAGAGTTCACAGAAGATAAGAATACTGGGATTAACACAATAGACTCCCCTTCATTACACCTGGCTGAATAAAGCAATTATCTGTCTATCAAGACTAGCAACTTGTGCAACAGCATTAAGAAAGAGTGGATGGATAGGTGGATAAACGCTATTCCATTGGAAAGCGGTGCTGATATATGAGGTAATCCTTTGAGTTTAACTTGTAAAAACAGTTTTATTTTGGAGTTTATATCATGTTACTCTTGCAGCTTAGAGAGAAATGATTTTTCAAAATATTGTTGACTGCATTTTTCAGTTCTTTACCCATCTGAATTTTATTAGGGGGGTTATTTCAAAGACGTCTCTTGTTTAATCATGTTTAAACAATCTGTTTAAGACCTGTTGTGTAGATATAAACACAATAGTCCTTTAATGTCGTAAAACAGACTTCTGACAGACATAGCACGTAACAGACATGCATCCATTATTGCTTAAGCTGCTGTTCCTTCCATGCCTGACCTGAGAGGGTAACCACAGAGCTCAGCTGAAAGCGTTCACTGGTTAGAAGACACTGACATGTGCCTATGCACTGTATTAATGTCTAGCAAGCAGAGAATTGCAGAGCAGCATACAATTGAAAAGGTCTTAGACTAGATTAAAACTAAGTACCTTAAATCTGTTTTAATGGCTGTGTTTACATCTCCTTCTTCTTCATTCCTTTAAAAAAAGTAATCAGGTTTTGCAGGCGTTAAGAAAACCACCTCTTCTTGCCAGCTGGACTAGGTCCAGTTTAAGCAAGAAATTCTCCGCCTCCTTTTTTCTGTCTTTTTCTTTTTTCTTCCTCTGTGATCTTCTCTGCCATTCAGCACAGCAAGACCAGGCTGTGGGAGTTGGCTGACTTTTTCTTTGGTTATTACTTTTTAACATTTTCTTCCTGTTACAGAAATGAGAAAATTGAGAATGATGTTCTGCTGCTGCAGCAGTGAATGTCAAGAGAGGAGCCCTTTGCCTTTTTAATTACATCTGTGTAGTGTTTCTTTTTGCTTAAAACACTCTGTCTCTCTGTTTCTCTGTCTCTGTCTCTGTCTCACTCTCTGTCTCACATAAAATATGCACAAAACCTTAATAATGAAAGAGAAATAGAAAGGATCGCATGCTAAGGAAATTGAGCCAGGATCCAGGAATTGCGTGACAGTCTGTTTGTAGGCTAGTTGTCACTGCACTCTTTGAAGAATAATGCCATCCATGTTTAGCTGGATTGGCAAATAAACAGTGATGCTTTTTGTTCAACTACGAAAACTGCTATTTCCATTGCTAAAAATGTTACCGCTAAAAAAATCTTTGCATCTCTCAGTGGGGTCTCTATAAGTGCTCGAAACACAAAGAACTGTGGTATGTGTGAACATGTTACAGAAAAAGAAGGCAAAGAAAATGTTTTTGGAACTAAAACACTCAAGTTTTACTAAGTTTTGGAAGTAAAGTGTAGACATAGAGAAAGAGTTTTTTTGTTCATTTCCCATAAAGTCAAGGGAGAGATAAAGATTCACATGGTCCAGGATGGTGTGAATGTTCAGTTGTAATTAGTAGGAGAACAAGTGATAAAACGGAGTCAGAGAGACTGGGCATAATGTAATAACATCTTTGAAGTAAGCTTCTGCACTTTTTCTTAATGTCTCCTTCTGGTCTCTTTGCTCCACGTTTTCTTCTTTCCCTCAGTGGCAGCCTGGTATAGGAAAAAGGAGGCTCAGGCAGTTTAGGGGACTGCCTCCCAGTGTCACTGCCTAGTTCCATGACTTTAAAGCTAGTCTCAGTATTTTTCTGGGCATTAATTATTTCTCTAAAATGAAGAACCCAGTCTGATGAAATCTATATTCTCTTACAACTCTGAAAAATCCTAATTCATATAATTTTACTTTGAATTGGAGTAAGGAGGGATGGAAGCATCCCTTGGAAACAACAGGCAGACAAATTTGAGTAGTAGGTCTGAAATGAGAAAATACCAGTAGAGTTGTAATAAAGAAGCATAGTAGGTTAGAGGTGTATTAGGACATGGGAGAGGAGCTACGGCGAAGTTAGCCGGATTCCCGGTTAGCTCTTTTTTTCCTGCCTGCAAAAAGTATTACTTCTCATCTTGTATATTTCCATGATGCTTTCATCCAATCTTTTTAAAAAATTTTTTAATCCTTTTTTGCTTCCTACCTCCTATGAAGTTTCTTTTTCTTCAGACGTCTCAAGTTTTTTTAGTCCATTATCTGAAGAAAAGGGATTATACTGTAAGCACGTGTTTATTATAATTTATTTCCTGAAGTTTGACTGATATTGGCGTAGCCTGATAACTGTCCTTTCTCCCAGACACTGTATGCTTTGATTGTTGTGATTCGCCACAGCCTAAAACCTAAAAGTTATAAAGGAACTTGCATTTATAGACATTCAAATTAACATTGTACAATTCTTTTATTTATTTATGAATTTATTCAAAGATCTCGAATTCTTCAATCCTTAGAAGCCTAAATTTTGAAAGGAGCAGGCCTTCACTTCTCTCTCACACACATCTAATTGTATTTAAATATGACTACATATGAGATTGAGATAGTGAACTTTATGTCACTGGTCTAAATGGGTGCCTTTTAGTATTAAAAGAAATCAAACTCAGCTTTTAACATTTTTTCTATGAAATGGAGTCCCTAGAATATTTCTATGGAGTCTATGGTTTAACCATGTAATTATGTCTCTTGAGTAGATTATATTTTTCTTCCCATAATTATGTTTCACCCAAGAGACTGGAAAGGCTTTAGACCTGTCTTGGGTGAAATTGTTCTTCCTCTCTTCTCTCTTGATAAACGCCGAATCTTACGTGCCTGACTCTGTTTAAGAGCTGAAAGGGGACTCTTGAAGATATGTGGTAGTGATTATGATTTTTTTCCTTTAGAAATTGGTTTATGTATTAAGAAGGGCCCTTAGAGAGAAGCTCTGTTAGCTCATTTTTGAAATGCCATCAGAGAAGAATCTTCTGGAAGCAGATTTGTTTATGATCTGTGGTCCTGTGTCTGAAGCCACACACTAACATTGTTCTAGGGCTGTCTCTACTCACGAGCTATCCTGTATCATATTGCATGGCTATTAATTTCCAGCGGCTCAAAGGGCTAGAGGCCTTAAACATGAAGACAGTTTCTTAGCCCATTTCATTATTCTAGTCCAGAAATAGTTTCTGACCTGAATCAGACAGTGCACTCTTAGGGAAAAAGATGACGCAGCAGCCTTTCCCAGCAAAGATTATAGACTCATCAATTTTACTGTGGGAAATGTTTCCCAATAACCAGCTTTTTTTTTTTCTGTCTTCTTTGTCTTTACTGGACAAAAGTACAGATAATTTTAAATTTATCCATGTTCTTATTTTTTAATTCAGCAATCATTTGTTGTGTGACTTCTCTGTACCTAGGCTCCAAGTTTGTGCTAGACATAAAATGTGACACCCATCCTTAAGGGGCTCTCAGTCAAGTCTAGGAAAATCTAAAATATTAGGGTTTGAAATTTTGTATAAATATTTTATGTCAATTCATAGTAAGTGAATGCTTACTGGATGCCTACTGCACATAAGCATAACCACATGTAGTAGACAAAACATAGTTGTCGCTGCTGTCAGCTTGCTGGGATATAAATCAGAGGGATCATCAAGGCTCTCGAGACAGGAAACACCAGAACAATGTGATGACCAAGTTGAGCTTGGAAGGGATTTTGCCAAACGGAGTTGATGCGGAGAGGGTGTTCCAAGTGGAGGGGACAGCTTGAGCAAAGGCACAGGGTGTATTTGGACTGTCGATAGACCAGTGTGAGTAGAGCACAAGCTGGGAGCAGTACAGTTGTAGCCATTGGAAATGAGAGTGACAACGCATATTGCGACCATATTTTCCAGGTCCTTATTTGCTGGGCTCAGGGGGCTCTATTTAATTCAATAGACAATGGAAGACAATTGAAAGGTTTTGAGCAGGTAAGTGACATGAATGTTAGGATTTGGGGGCAGAAAGAATTTCAGAAATTATGGAAACTAACTCTTCATTTTTTGGTAGACGAGGAAGCTAAGACCAACAGGGTTCCATTTTGGTGCCCTTCCAAATATGCCAGGCTGCTACTCTGTTGTATTAGCCACAGGCCAGAGGTTAGGAGGGTTCTAGTGGAGGCCCATTCCTGAAGAAACTGTAGAAATGGGCTGGAGTGGATGATGGGGGTCTAGGAAAGGAGGTGACAAAGATATGCCTAAGCTGGATTTTGAGTCTGAGAGACTAGAAAATGATGATGATGAAAATAAGGAAATCAGAAGAGAAGCTGGTTGGGATGGTTTGAGGAGGAAGGGAGGGGCAAAGGGCTTAATTAAACATTACAAGAGTATAGGTCTTTGATTCCTAGACATTCACAAACCACCAGTGAAATGTAGTCATCTGAACGTAAACAGAGGAGCAGACTTTCACTTTTCTCCGTAGTATCTTCATTTTTACATGTATGTAGGAATGCAGAAAATCAAAGTTTTTAAATTTAGAGCCTCAATAGTTATAATAAAGTATGTGGATGAGAACTTTGCGTGGCTTTCCTAAGAATGTACTTGAGTCTGGGTAATCTTCCTTGTGCTATTGCTTTTGCTGGAAACCATCGACTGAACTCCCTAAGATACAGTAAGGCTCATCCTTAGAAGTAGAAATGCAACAATTACATGTGGAATGCAATCGTGACTTTAAAATTAGTCAACCTGTTCCCTAACGCTTCCCTACAAACACACTCCTTCATGTAGCACTTTTAGGATAGATTAGAAGTGAAGGATCTCATTATTTTTTTCCAAAACTGCTGTGGAATAGCAGCTCTGTGGACATATAACCAATTTTCTCTGAGAAATAGTAATTCTGATGCAAGTCCTCTCCTCTCTTCCTTTTTACTCCAGGGATCATTGTCACAACATTCTGAAACTGTTACATCCTGTGGCTTGAGCCCTAGAGTATTGGACCAGACTTTATTCAATCACATACTTGGTGACAGCAAAATTAGCTCATGTCTCCCCAGTTACCCCTCTCTTCCAGTGAAGTCTGAATGCATGGTGGATGAGGCTCATGGACTGCCAAAGTATGGTTTTATTCATTAAGAGAGCTGTCTTTTTCCTTTCTTTTCTTTCTTTCTTTTTTTTTTTTTTTCTTTTTTGAGACGGAGTTTTGCACTTGTTGCCCAGTTTCTCACTTGTTGCAGTGGCTTGATCTCAGCTCACCGCAACCTCTGCCTCCTGTGTTCAAGCGATTCTCCTGCCTCAGCCTCCCGAGTAGCTGGGATTACAGGCATGTGCCATCACGCCTGGCTAATTTCATATTTTTAGTAGAAACGGGGTTTCTCAATGTTGGTCAGGCTGGTCTCGAACTCCCGACCTCAGGTGATCTGCTCGCCTCGGCCTCCCAAAGTGTTGGGATTACAGGTGTGAGCCACTGTGCCTGGCTGAGAGCTGTCTTTAAAGGGCAGATTCCCATAGGTACTGCATAGCTTAGAAGAATTAATGTATAGTAGTAAGACTAGAGTTATAAAGTGGTTTGAAGAATGGTGTGCGTCTGTTTAGATTGATATCACACACATATATAGATAAGCGTATATATATGTGTGCATGGATATGTATGTGTGTGTGTGTGTGTGTGTGTGTATATATATATATATATATACACATATTTAGCATCATCTTATCTCACAAGATATTTATTATCAGGTTTTCATCATTTTTCTTCCAGCTAACTTTCCTTGTTTCTTCTCTGCTTATCAAAATCCTAGTCAACCTTCAAGGACAGGCATCATGATTTTGTCAGTGAGGTTTCCTCTTTCCCCTTAGTCAAAATCAATTGCTCCCCTGCACTTCCTATAATACTTCAATACTTTTTAAATTTTTTATTATGAAAAATTTCAAACATAAAAATAAAGATTATATTGAATACAATACTATCTACCCATCACCTTTTATTTATTTTTTGGCATATTTCCTCACCTACTATTTTGCCCAAATATTGTAAAGCAAATACTGGTTGCCATGATATTTAACCCCTAACTATATGTTAGCCCTTCTGAATAAGAAGGACATTTTTCTACATAATCACAGAAAGTACCACTTCCTTAATATTTAAAAACAGTTCATATTCAGATTTTCTCAATTGATCCGCAATCATGGCATTTTAGTGATTGCCCTCACCACAGCCTCTCTTCAGTTATATTTAATTGCTTTCTTCCCCACTAGACTGTGAACTCCTTGAGGGCAAGGATATTATCTTATATATTTTTCTATCCTCTCCTCCTCACAATACCTAGTGAGGCTTGCATGTAGTAGATAACCAGTACACATTAGCTGCACTAACTGACCCAAATATGGACATGGTACTGCTTCCTTATTGATGCTCTATTACAGATCTTCTTTTAAACTTTATTTTATTTAAAAATTATGTTTTCATGATACTTAGGATACAGGTAAATACCTAGGGAATTTTTAAAATCAAGTTAAAATACTACTCCAAAAAGATGAGCTGCCAAACATCATGCCCTAGTGATCAGCAAAATGATTCTGCTGTGCCATATTAGGGTAGACTGGGCATCACATGGCACACTCTTCATGAAAAGTGCCTTGTTTTTTGTAAGTGCATTTTGACATTCTTCAGGGTGCGCTGACTGGTGCAGTGCATCAGGTTGTGGATATAATACAGAGAATGTAAGTTTCTGGCTGGGGAGCCACGTAGCTCTCCGAAGTTGTTAAATGTTTCTCAATCAACTTTCATAAAAATGGGCAAAATGGGTCACATCACACAGAGTCAAGTTTACTTTCATAGTTCACAGACCACATTTTCAGAGTCTTCGTGTGCCAGTTTCAGATGTGTGATTTTTGAAAGCAGAAGTTATAATGGTAGTATTACTAACTTTCATTGTGGGTAGGGCACAATGGGGTGATTCGCTAGACTATGGCTTAGGGACTTAACTGTTTCTCATTTGTCTTTGCTCTAAGGATGTGTGAATGCTGTGACCTTTTGATTATGCTTTCTTCTTGTGCCCCTGAATTTATTGCAACAAAAGTCATATTCAGCTAAACACACTCAACTTTTTGAAAGAAATCTTTTCTGGAAACCACTTTTTTGTTTTTAATTTTAAATTGATTTTTGATCATGATTTCCCCTGAATGACTGCTGCTGAACTATTATGAGCTGAAATAAGCTGGTTGGCAATGGGAGAGAAAACAGCCCCAGGCCAGCAATCAGGAAAACTGAGTCTGGTCCTGCCACTAACTATATGACTTTAGGTAAGGCATGTCCCCTCTCAGGGACTCAGGGTCCTCATCCATAAAAGAAGCATGTTACTCTAAACTTTAGAGTCTAAATGATTTCTATTGCCCTTTCATCTCTCTGATTCCCAGTGACTTTCAACAATGCTTAAGAATTACAGTGAAAGTGAATAGGGTTTTCCAGAAAGAAAGCAAATTTTTACTTAAATGAATGTCCTTCAGTAAAATTTTGTAGGAAGCACCAGTAAGGGCTTATCTCTAGAGAAAGGTTTTGCCCACTAGATTCACTAGATTGTCAAACAAGAAGAACTTTTTTGGGGAAAGAATATGATATATATAATATGATGTCCTGGACCAGAAAATTTTCTTTCACTCAAGGAATTTATCTAAAAGAGGAGAATATTCATTCATTCACTTATTGCATAAATATTTACTGAGCACCCACTCTGTAGCAGGCACTGAACTAGGTTGTGAGATTATAGCTGTAAACAAGACAGAGGGCTCATTCTCATGAGACTTACAGTCTTACAGGAGAGACAAAAATAAATACACAAGATAATTATAGATTGTGGTGACTGCCATAAAGAAAATAAAGAGAGGGTGTGTTCAAGAGGGTGGGAACCTATTTTGGTTATGGGAGGCAGACAAGGCCTCTCATAGGAGGTGGTGTTCATTCTGAGGTCTAAGGGGTAAGAAAGAGTGGGCCCTACAAGGAATCAGGGGAGAGCACTTCAGGAATATGGAAAGCTCTTGAGATGGGAAACTGAAAAGGAGACAGATTTTCAGCTGCCCAGAGAGAAATGCTAGAGTCTTAGGCCAAGGTTATATCAGTAGAAATGGAGAGAACTGAATCGATTTGAGATATAGCATTCAGAAAGAAATGGCAGGACTCGGTAATGGATTGAATGTGGAGAGTGAGAGATAAGGAGAAATCAAGGAAAATGTCTAGGCTTTTGGCTTAGGAAACTGAGTGGCTAGTGTCATTTACTGAGATGGGGGACTATTAGAGAGAAATAGGATTTTTTTGGAGGGGAGAATAAAAAATTCTGTTTTGAATATACTGCATTTAAGATGCCTTTGGGACATCCCAGGGTAGATGTCAAGTAGGCAGTAGAACACACAAACCTGGAACTCAAGACAGAGGTCAGGGCTCAACCAGAAAAGGGGGAGTCATTGCTATAAATAGGTAGTATTTAGTGCATGAGACTGAGATCACCTTGGGCAGTGGTTCTCAATCCTGGCTGCAGATTGGATCATGTGGTGAAATCTTGAATAAAAGAGACCTTTTCCCCAGGTCCCACTATCAGAAATTCTGATTTAATTGATCTGATATGGGGCCTGGACATCCATGTTTCAAAGCTCCCTAGGGAATTTTCTTATTCAGCAATGATGGAAGGATTCAGGGAGAAGTTCAGCTAGAGAAGGGATCCAGGACTGAGCATTTTTACATAGAGTCTCAAGTATAATACAGGAATTTTCCATTCTTCATACCCTCCTCCTGTTTGGAACATCTACTCGTTGGCCCGTTGGATGAGGTTTAGTCCTCACTGCACTATGACAGAGTACCCTATCCTTGACTTAGTCAGTGTGTCCTTGGTCTTCCATGTTCTTAATTTCTGAAGGAATTGCTTGGGTGCTGGGGATTTAAGTACACCTTCTTTCAGCCCATCATTCGAGTGTTACCCTGATGTGGTTTAGTGGTAACAGGTATTTGTCATAGTTGAAATGTGAAGAACTTGTTTGGCTTTTGCTCTTCAATGTACTTTGTTCTTCAATGTACTTCATACATTATGAAGAGTGCATTTTGTTGTGGTTGCAGTGGTGTCTGTGAAGGGGCAGATATCTACAAAGAAAAATGCGTATGTTTTTGTATGTGTGCATCTGCAGATAAATGTTTCCTGAATTATTCTAGGGTGCCTGTAGATACTTGGAAGTGTTCTTTGAAGATAATTTCCAAAAGATCATGAAGGGTTTTAAAATTTCACCTGCTTTAAAATTTTTCACACTTACCAGTCCTAGCCTAAGTCCTTTATTTTTGCCTGCAAACTCTTATTACTCCTGAAAACGCTGGGCTAAGAGAAAGTAAAAATGTACTCACACATGTACAGTCTGAGCTCACATCTCATACAGCCTCTAGGAAAACCTAATGAAAAGGCTATAGAAAGCAGAGGCAAAGCTTATTAAATTTTCTTGTGACCCATGGCCCACGTAAAGTCCTAGTGTATAAAGGAACCATGCAAGATCATGTAGCCCTCCCCTCAGCCCTCAGGGAACCTGCCATTCCAAAAATATGGCCTATTAAGAAAAATAACTTCCAGGGACAATTCCGTAAGCTTTCTTGTTAATGTTTACAGCTGTATCAACACCACACCAATACTATGTGTGTGCATGTGTGTGTCTGTGTGTGAGTGTGAGGAACAGACTCCATGGATCTGTGACAAGTACTATATAATTCCCTAATTGTGAAACTAGTTAGACCCAGCAAGATGTATTGATGGAAGTTTGGTGAGTTAGGCTACAGCCATTTGTTTAGGGTAATGGGTGAATTATTAACTTTGTAATTGAATCCTTGTTGCTACTTCTGCTTATGTTGAAAGCCAGCCTTGGCACCTCACTGGGCTTAGTTCTTAGGTGTTTCACTCTATATGATCTGGATATTTTCAGTCCTCCATAGCAGCTGGAAGAGGAAGGGAAGAGAAAGCTAGAATACCAGCACTGATGGTGCCACGTGATGAATGGAAAGCTCAGTCAACTTGGACGAGGGCTATATCCTCGTGAAGGCTCAGCTAGTCGGCAGCCGAGGACCATAAGCTAGTTGTTCTACCTCTGCAGGCCTCAGTCACTTCATAGGTGAACACCTTACTTGCCAGGGTCTAGGAGTTGTTTTGGGTCATCTCTAAAAGTCCTCTAGGGATCTAAAATCTATTTGTAATCTGGATACAAAACAGTAATGGTGGGGAAAACAACCATTAACAATGAATTTCTCTAATTTTTCCTGTTCATTTTTCTCCTAGGTCTAGTCCTTCTGTTATAGCAGATGCCCAAAAACTTGCACTGGCAGGAAATAGGGTGGTGGGTGCATTTCAGTTAATGGGCCTAGTTGGAACACGTTTGGCCGTGGAGACAGCTACACTCATATTACCAAGCCTTGGCTTCCTATCTGTTTTCTTTGGGCTGGGAAGGCAATGAAAAAGGAGACAGGAAAATACATTTTGGGGCAAATAAAATAAGGAATTTGTCTTACGAAGACAGCTTATAGTTGGGAAATTCTAATGTTCAATTTAACCCTATCCTGATACATTCCTCTTGTTCTGTATTAAGTGGAAGCTAAGGCGTTTGCGCTACCCATAGAGTAGTGAAAAACTCCCAGGCTTGAAGGCTTTTCATAAACCTTCTTCAAGGTTTCTTTCTTTTATGGATAATATTCTAATTCCCTTAGTTTCTCTTCAAGGGGCAAACTCTTAATCCCATCATCATCTTGGTGGTTCTTCCTCGAATCAGCTTCAGTTACTTAATAGTCATACTAAAATGTTAGGGCAGCACCCTAGGGCCTCACTGGCACAGAATCTGGAGGAAGGAATCCCCAGTCCATTTCTGTTTCTCTATTAGCATTGCATTTGTCCCCAATAGCACCACCCTATAGATTTACTCTACTGTGGTACACCCAGATTCAGATGCTTTTCTGTTATACTTGCACCAAGACACTAGTATGTCTTTTGTTAAGAATGATTTGATGATTTTTAAGAAGTCTTAGTATCTTGGTTTGTTTTAATTTGTGCATTTCTCTAATACCCAGAATTTCTTTAGCTTTTAGACTTGAATAAACTAGAAGAGAGATAGAAAGGCTCCCCCCCTCCGCCAAATAATGGATTGTCACAGTCACATGTTTACTTAAAGAGTGTATTTCAGCTTCTTTTCCAAAACCACAGTAGTGGATTTAAAATAAAAAAGCATTCTCTCTGATTTAACAGAGTTTATTATACACATTCCAGCTTTGGCATATCACAAAATATCCAGATTCCTCTTGAGAATTTGAGTTTCCCTGCTTACATTTCTGTTTTTTTATTTCTTAAAGGGGTTTAGGTTTGAGTTTTAATTTTCCAGAAAAGAGTCTTAGTAAAGAGTAGTTGTAACGTTAAAGAAAAGTCACTATGGTCATCGTGGAAATTTCCCTTTGACAAATGTGTTTGTCCGTGTCTCTGCTCCAGCTTTGTGACATTGTGGCTAACATGCACGGACTCTCTGAACTTTCAGAGGGGATTTCCTCCATCATGAAACAAGCAAACACCCCCAATACACATCTCTCCTGTTTGTTTTTTTTTTTTTTTTTTTTTTTACTGAGAGGGCCAGAGAAGGTGTCTAGTATCCTGCCTCTCTATTGATGCTTGACTTCAAGTTGTCCTCTGAGACCTCAGCTCTCCATTTATAAAACAGAGCTAGGAATGCTGGCCACCAGATACCGCTTATAAAGCAATTTGAAATGGAAGGCATTATGTAGACAAGTCATTATAAATATTAATATTGATAATTCCTTGGCTTAAACTCCCAGTTTGTATGTTCACATATCTATTTAGCATGGTCAATTGTTCAGCTAATTAATATGCTTTTATTTTATGATTTGCTATTTCCAGGGCACAGACAGAAGCTTGATGACTCTAAACCTAGTTTGTTCTCTGACCGCCTCAGTGATTTAGGGCGCATTCCTCATCCCAGTATGAGAGTAGGTGTCCCGCCTCAGAACCCACGGCCCTCCCTGAACTCTGCACCAAGTCCTTTTAATCCACAAGGACAGAGTCAGATTACAGGTAAGACAGACTCATAGGTTTCACTTGCATAGACGCTGGCAGGCTGGGGGTGAGGGGCTACCAGAGGAGATGTGTTCACTTCAAAACTCCTGGAGCTGTGAAGCGGCTTATTATTAAAGAATCAAGACTTGAAGACACTGATTTCTTCTTTTTTATTAAAAAAAATAACATTCAATAACTTGGGGATAACATTTTGGGGGATATTTCTACTAATGCTCTACTCTGCAGCAATCTCAGTCTACACCCTGGTGGAACGGTAATAATGCACTTTGGGAGAATGTTTATTATACGTTTCTATATTGTATCCAGGTGGTGCAGGGGATAACATCACACCCTTACTATTAGAAAATTAGTGTTACCCTCTCAGATTTGGGCTTACATTTCTTACATGTATAACTATTTCATTAAGTCTGCTTGAAAATTGCCCAGGGCGAACAGGAAGCCTTGATTGGTAGTTATAAGGCAAGGTCAATGTGTGGCTCATCGGGCACACAGAATTCACTTCTGATTTACATTTAGCTCTGGTTCTCCATTAGACATTTCTCTTTATAAATTCTAGTCAGCTACTTACTTTACCTTTCTTCTGAGAAATTAACATCGGCATTACATTACAGACTAATCATTCACATTTGGTGCATTAAGACCCCCAACTCTTTTCTTTTTGTCCCACTTGTGCAAAAACAGATTTATTTAAAGACTCGTTTGAATGCTTTTAGGTCATGATGACAAGAGAGTGTATTAATTATTATAAATCTTTAATTTGCAGATAAAAGTATTGAGAGCTGAAAGGAAGTTTACATGTCATCTAATTGCTATCATTGGTAGAGGTGGACTAGAATAGAGGGAAAGTAAGTCAAAACAAAATGTGTAATAAGCCCTCAACATGGATCTTTTTTATGGTTAGATTTTTGTTTATAGTAGTTAGGCTCGAATGTTCTTAATGGTCTCAAAACATAATTGTTTATAAGCAGAATGACCTATCTCTTCTTCTCTCCTGCCCATATTATGTAAATGTATTCTTGGATAGTTACTTAGAGTAGGTTTCAGTTTCTGTGAGTGTATATATTTTAGTCGGAATGTATGAGTTTGCATGAGTGTATATTTTAAAAAATAATATAGAATTATAAAAATCAAACATCTAAACACTAAAGATAACCAGATATCTGCATTAAGGAAGAACATTATTGCTCTTTGAAGAATGGCCATGTTTTAGACTATATAAAACTTTAATCATTCATATGTGGGGTTGAAAGGTCAATGTGTTCACTAGACATATGTCCTTGATAAAAATACAAGAGTAAAATTCACACTAACTTGTGAATTTGAAGCTTGTAGCTATGGGTGCTGCTGCATTTAAAGTAGTGGACTTAGAGACTACAAAAGATGGGAGAGTGGGGGGGCGGTGGTGAGGGTTGAAAAATGACCCTTGAGTACAATGATTGCTGTTTGGGTTATGGGTGCACTAAAAGCCCAGACTTCACCTCTATGCACTATATGCATATAAGAAATCCATACTTATACCCCCTAAATATATGTAAAAAAAAAAGTAGTAGACTTTAGATTATTCATTAAGGCATAAAATAGCTTTCCTTTTGTCTTTATAGTAATCCTTAGACTGTGTGTGTGTGTGTGTGTGTGTGTGTTTGTAGAAGCAAATGTATATATATACACACATATATATGTGTTTATATATGATTTGTAATGGATTTATGATGACTAATAAAATATATATAAATATATGTTCCATGATTTGGCAACCACTGGCTTTTTAAATGTTTGATTTCTGTATTCTGATCATTATTTGTTTGCTATTTATGCTGTTAATGACTAATGCTTTAGAAATGGCCTTTGGAGACTGCGTGTTGCCAGATTCACTTAAGAAGATGCTTCTCTCAAGGCTTTGTCCTTAAATCTAAAGATGAGATCATAAAGTAGATCCAGAGGACATTTTAGAACCTAAAGGTACCTTAGATATTGTGAAACCAATGGCTGGAAAAATTGTGAAGAGGATCTGTGTTTTAGTAGCATCCCCGCCTAGCAGATACACGTGCAGAGAGTGAGGCTCAGAGGAGGTGTGGGGCTCACCTGTGCCACAAATGCATCTGAGCAGATCGAGAGTGTGGCCACCTCCACAGGCCTGGCCCTCCTCCAGTTGTCAGCTTCTCTTCACCCTCTTCCCTGTTAGGGGGCTCAGGAAGTTAAGCTTCTTGTCTGCAGTTGCACAGCAAGTTACTGGCAGGGCAGGGAACACATTCACTGGATATATTTCTGAAAATGAAAATATAAAACAAGTTAATTTCTAGGTACTGATAGCTTCTTGGAATTTTTATGAGTATTAGTGCTCTTCATTTTGGGATTATAGTAGTAATAGAATTGATTTATAGACTAGTGTTCTTTTTTTTTCAACATCCACTAGGTATTGGACCCAACAACTTTTCTCAAACTTTCCAAATTTCCAGATGTCCACATACATACTTGTCACCCCAACCACTCTTGGCCATGTGAGCTTTCTTTAAATGTTCCCATATTGTGAGTGAGAGAATGCCTGTATCTGTCCATAACCAAGGAGATGCAGTGTTCTACTGTGACCCAATTTTTAAAGGAAAGCCCAGGAACATCTGGAGCAGCAGCAATGCGAAAATGAATTGAATAGGTTCAATTTTTTAATCTCTGGATTGACTTCTTTGTTTATTCAATAAGTATGATTTGGGGCCTATCACATGTAGCAAACTGGGTGTTAGGTAATATGGAGAGAGAAGAAAAGCGCTGTTCTTAGTTGTAGTTGAAGAGATAGTTATCCTCCCCAGCCCTGGCATACCACATCCTGTGCCCCAACTGTAATACCATTCCTGAGTACACGTGCTTCTCTCTGTACCCCTTTACTCAGCCAGCCCATCTACAGTAGTCTCTGTCTGCTGACAAGATTCCACCCATCCTCCAAGGCCACTGTGTTATCTTCTTCAGGAAAAAGTTCTGGAACCTTCATCCAAAGGCAGTTCATCCACCCTCTAAGCTTTAGTTAAGATTGCCTTCTTTTAAGGATACTGTGTATTCATCTTTTCTACCCTGCTACATTGTACATTCTTTGAGGGATTTATTACAGGGATTTATTTTCTTTTGTGACTAGCCCAGTGGCAGTGTCTCATTAAATATGAATTATTGAAAGTTCAGGTGAGAAGCAATCGGTGCAATAAGGGTTGAGAGGATATCATATCTGTCTTAGTAGCATTAACTCTTCTTTCTAATTTCCTGTCCCAGGATGTCATTGTTCCCTAGTGATGGGCAGCAGCTTAAATCACATTTCAATAAAACATTTACTTAGTTAAACTGTTCGGTTTTATTCAAGTTTAGGGTCAATGTAATTGCATGACTAAATTTAAATTCTTGCCTGTAATGGATTTTGTAACTTCTTTGCAATATGCCATATCTGCATTTTAGTTCATGTAATCCTTTGGACAAGACGTTTGTAACAGGAAGGGCCCAGTTTCCTCTCTGCAATTGGCTTGCTACTCTTGATATCTCAAGCTTTTACCCCAAAACTGTAGATAATGATCATGGTTATATAGTCCCCTCTAGTTCTCCCACTTGCCAACATAAAAGGCAGAAGACGTCTTTAAACTCCCAGAAGAGTGAAGTGAAATTAGCAATCATAAATTGAGGAAGTCATAAGCATTTAGTGTTTCATAGTTAGCCTTTTCCAGTGTCTCTTGCAGTTCCTAGGACCAAAACTTCTAGCCATGTGGTAGCTAGAACCTAATTAAAGTGGTTTCCACATAACTTCAGTCTGATTCTGTATTCCCTCCCTGGTATCTTTGCAGTGCTTGTCTGATGGTGATATTTTGTGGAAGTCTTTAATGGCTGATGTTCAGCTGAAGGCCCAGGGCCTCCCCACAGCTTCCTGGGGAAGTTGCTTCCTCTAGACCTCTTATCATTCAGACATCTGCTGCTTGTCTCTAGGTGCCAGGAAACACCTAGTCTGTCACAAATGTTCACTTCTTTTGATTCAGAAAGCGGCGATAGCAATAGAGTAAGGATATGATGTTGGGAGATATCGCTTAAGATATCTTTAAACTCATTATCCTCTAGATGGGTCCGCTACACCTAAAAAATAATGCTGATTCAGGCCCTTGGGTTTGGTGGATTGGGACATTCATCTCGCTTTTAGGGTGGGGGATGTACTGCTATTCTGTTTTTCACTCATTCAAAAAATACTTAATGAGTGCGTATTATCTGCTAGGCATTGATGCAAGTGAGTGAGAGAGACACAGCTTCTGCTCACAAGGAGCTTATATTTTAGTGTCAGACACAGTCAATAAATAGGTAAATAAGCATACATATAAGATAATGTCTGATAATAATGAATGCTATGAGAAAATGAAATAGGATAATTGCTAGGTAACAACTCGGAGAGGGAAGGAGCTAATTTTGATTGGAAAGTTGAGAAAAGGTCCTTTGAAAAGCTTTGAAGATCTGTGAGGAATGACATTTCAGGCAGTAGGAAACTCATGCAAAGCCTAGATTATGGGGAGTCTTGGGGGCCACAATAGTGGCTTGGGTTTAGTTCTGATTGTAGTGGGCTACCAGTGTAGTGGGGGATGTGAAGCAAGGGAATGACATTATGTCATTTACATGCATAATAAAACCTGTTTGGATGCTGTTTGAGGGGACCATAAGGGGCTAAACAAAGAAGCAGAATTATGTTCAGGAAGCTGCTACAGTAGCTCGAGAGAGTAAATGGTGGTAGCAGTGGAGGTGGAAGGACACTGAAGGATTCTGAATACTCTCTTTTTTTTAATAGAGAGTTCACAACTCTCGCTGATGGTGAAGGGAAAACAGGACTTCAGAGTTTTGACCTGGGCAATTGGAGGATGGTGGTGCCATTCACTGATGTGGGGAAGACTCAGGGAGGATAAGGTGGAGTGGGGCTGGGGAGCTCAGAGAAGCAGTTGGGTGGAGAAAAGAAGATACTAAGAAAGAAGAGACTCGACATTCTCACTCCTACAGTAGCTTGTAAAACTGCCTTTGCAGACACCCAAGGGGCTTCCCTTCTCATGATTCTTCCTAGGTTGCAGCGTTCCCTTTCATGATTTCCTTTCTCTTTTAAAAGCAGCTCTTGGTTCTTTTGAGTCTTGGTTGTTTTTCTAAGCAGTCAATGAAAGTTGATTTTCCCTGCATGTAAATGCTGGAAGGAAGTGCACAGGATATTTTTTTCCTTGGTTCAGACCCCTATTTGCCCTTCACTCAGGAGTAGATTCTGGACACTTCTGCATAGGCTGCTAGATAGTCCATCATGTTATTTATTGTGACTTTTTCTCCTTTTGTAATGTACAAGCAATTCATTTGAAGTTTCACTTATTTTTTTATTTTAAATTAATATGTTATTGTATTTCATGCTTTTTTCTCTGCCTAGACACTCTTCCTTGTCTTGTTTTTCCAAACACATTTTTATTGTTTCTTCAAAACTCAGATCAAATGCTGCCACCTCTGTCAAGCCTCTTCCAACCTATCCAAGCAGAGTCGAATCAGGCTCCCGTGCCACCTTGTACAACCCTTGATTATATCTTGTTCCATGTGCTGATGATTACTGTTCACATGTCTGTCTCCTCCATCAGACTTTGGACTTTTCAAAGTCTAGGGCCATGTTTTCTTCATCTTTGTGTCCCCCATTGTCTTACACGGTACCTGCTTACTACGTGACTTTTGGTTCGGTGATCAGTGAATAAATGGGGTCACTGACCTCTTCAGGAGGCGGGACCCACTATTATCCTAGCCTTAATATTTTTCTAGTGTCTGTTTGATTGAATTACTATTAGTTACCATTTATTAAATGCTTGTCATGTGTCAGGCATTGTTCTAATTAGTTTAACTCATACGTTCCTCACAATAGCTCTATGAGATAGGAGGCATTCTTATGGAAACTGATGGTAGACAGGTGGAATAACTCACCCAAGGTCCCACTTACTACTAGTAAGTGGTAAATACAGGAAGTAAAGGCAGCTCTCCATAGCTCCATGGCCCTGTGTACTTACCACCAAGTACTCTTGGGAAGCTGAAAGGTACTTTTATCATGGCTCAGCTTCCTCCCATTTCTGTACCTCACTTTCATTTATTCAGTTCTTTACCATTTACAAACCAAAGGCCTAAAACAATTCTAAAGGTACATATTTCACAGATGGAAGAAATTGATTCTTGGAGAAATGACTTGCTGAAGGCTACTTCAGCTATTGCAGTTGACTGTGAGTTCCTGATTCTTAGCAAGCACTCACCTTCATCCCTATCAAGATAGGTTGGGCTTGTTGCCAACAATCTAAGTGACATGTGTCCTGCAGGACTAATTTCTTTTTCTTCTGTCCATTATACATTATTTAGGATACTTAGAGAGAATATTTTCATGAACGGGAGTTAGCATTAGGAATATCTGAATTATACTTTAAAATTCAATATAATCATTTAAATGATTAAATTCCAGTTATATAAGGCATGTATTTAAGGTAAAAACTGCTTGCCAGACATCCTGTCTAATAATAATCTTATCAGCAGTTACTGTGACTGAAGTGGTTTCCACCTAACTTCAGTCTGATTCTGTATTCCCTCAGCAAACAGAACTCCTTTAAAAATTAAGGGGACCTCAGCCAATTAGGCCAGCTGGAATTAGGCTGTGTATATGTTTGGCTGTCCTAGGATTCTAGTGCTTGTCCCGAAACATTTACTAGTGTAATCCTTTCAGAAATCAGAAAGCACAGCTGAGTTGCATGTGTCTTAAGTTACTGTTCTGTTCAAGTGCTGAGTGACCACATGATTCTTTAATGTGAAACAAGTTGGGAGATGAAGTGGGCCTGGGGTGATGTTGGCTGTGAGTGTGAGGGTGGATGGACCCATAAGAGGCTCAGATACTGTTGGTGAGCAGGAAGAATGACAGTAGGGTACCATCAGTGTGGGTATGGAGGAGAGTGGGAGTCAAGTGAATTCTCAGACTTCACAGTCACTGTGGTCCTGCTCACTTGTAGGCAACTTGTGTCAAGGAACTGAAGTCACTGCATTGAAAGACAGATTGTTGGAAGTGGTTCTTTTTTACTTTGGTGGTGCAGTGTTGTAATTTCTGAAGTTCCTGGGAAGTTTTGCCCTGTCTTCTTCCTTTGAGATGTTTCAGGTGGGGCAGCTGGGCAAATTTGCTGCTGCCTTGCACATGTGTGAGCAGGGAATCTGTACAGGAGGTTGCTAGTCACAATCCTTATTTTTAGAAAGGGCTCAAATCCTGTGTGTAAACACTATTTCATACTGATTCTGCTCTGGTGGCCACATTATGAGGAAGAGTAGACTTTAGGTGCAGCCTGTGCTGGCTTTAAAGAATGAAGCTTCCTAGGACTCTGTGAAGGGCTGGTGGTCAACCCGTTATGTTGTTGCTTAGCCTGTTAGCAGTATCCACAGATGAGCTTCTTAAAGGTGCTCTGTTTGGATTTCTGTCTGTTGGCATTCCCTTATTAACTGAAGATGGTCTGACTTTAGTACGCTTTCAGAAAAGTAGAGAGGGTGATGTTCCCAGAAAAATTATTTTTTTGTTTCAAAAAATTGTCTTTGTAATTTTCTCCTATCTGGGAATATAAGATGCATAGTTAACACTTAGTTGTGATAAGAAGGGTTCATCTCCTATATAATGCCTCATTTTATCCTTCTTCCCCCAAAACAGTTCCATTTCTAGCCTGTCTTTAACTCTCCATGCAGAGGAAGTCTTGATTTTGTTCTCCTATTCTTTTCCAACACATCATCTTTCTCTTTTAGTTTTATATTTAGTTTTAGTTTTATATACATATGTATATGTACGTATATATGTACACCCACGTGTATGCATACCTGTCCCCTTTATTAGTTGCTTAGGGTCCTTTTTTGCCCTGTTTTACCTTTTGTGATGGACTATGGGCAAAAGGATCAGAATAGGAGATTAATGTTGAAGGAAATATTAACTTATGGGGTAACCCAGCAGAGGGGCAAGTTAGGCCTGCGCTTTGTGCAAAGATGCCCTGGTGGTATATTTTCACACTAAATAATGGATATGCTTCACATATCCATTATTTATGTGATATGCTTCCACATATCTCAGGGCTTCACACAGAGAGTTGGTGTACATTGACTGTGCAGTATTAATAGCAACAATAATATATTATAGATATGATCAGTCTAAAAAGTGTTTTCATTTTAATGTATGCGAAAGTATTCCAGGAATATAACTGTATGGCACTACTCCCAGTTAGAGGCATCAGATTCTCTTTAGGGCTTTGTTTATTGTAATAAAGACTTGCTTTTTAATGGCTTAAAACAATTGGTTTTAATAGACTTTAAAAGACAAGATTTAACGGAAGAATCAGATTGTGATCCATATAGAGAATATGAAAACTGAGGTGCTAGGAGATTTCTGAAATCCTCAGAGCTGAAATTGGAAATCTGTGTCTTAGGAAGGTGAAACCTGACAGATAGTTTTAGGTGGGGAGTGGGTGAAGGTGTAGGGGGAAAGATTTAGAATGAAAAATGTTTGGCGCTGTTGCCAGGGTGAATGGTGGGAATGGAAAATGACTTTGGATGAGCATCTTTGAGGACCCAGCTGAAGGTAGAGGTCATGGGAAGAGCCAATTGGCATGATTATGTGATTCTCTCCCACAGTGGTTACAGTTTGTGACTAGGAGTGGGCTAGGCTGTCGTGGACCGTCTGTCTGCTAGGACTAGGTAGGATTCAGTACAACACAGGGGAACAAGGAAGATGTTGAGCCAGTTTCCCATGTGGGGGAATGTCCTGCAGGTTGGTAGATGGAAGAACTTCCAAAGAGGACTTGACCCATCTGGACTGGGAAAATGAGCAGCAGCTGAGTGGAAGGGTTAAGAGGGAAATTTAACGGGGAAATCCGTGTGTTCGTTCAGGTGGGAAGGGGAAGGAGTGTCATCTGGAGAGGTTGAAGGTAGATGGGCGCTCTTAGCCATTCTTCAGCTATTCCTCATGTGACCGATAGAGGTCCCACACCTTGTCCTGTCTTCTCCAGTGCTCTAGCCTGATGCTGCCTCTTGAGAACACAATCCGCTAGCTATGCCTGACCAGGTCAGTAGGGGTCTACTAATATTCTGTTAATATATCCCAAGTTTGTGTTAACTTTTTGTTATCCCATCACACTGTGGCTGTCAGTCCATGAAAAACTCTGCTCTTGGAGCAGGCTCCCCCATCCTGTCTTGTAGTTGACAAAATGCAGCACTGTACTTTTGCTCTTATTTCATTTCATCATGTTGCTTTCACCTCCTCTTTCCATCCTGTAGGGTTATTTTGTAGTTCTGATTCTTCTTCTGTTGTGTTGGGTTATTCCTCACAACTTTGTCTCATCTTGAAGCTTGGAAAGGTCCCTTCTAATCCTTCAAGACTTTGGTGAAGATGCTGGACAGAAATAAGACTATTGTGCCCTGGATTATGCCACCATATAACTCTGTCTAAACTGACCACAATCTATATATTAATGACCACTTTCTGGCAGGCTTTTTAACTAGCTATAAATCACTTAGAGATAAGGCATATATCTTGCTGAGGTCCAGATATGCAATAGACAGATGAGCTGCCTTCTAATCTATTGCTTTAGTAATTCTAGGAGACAGTTTTTTAGTGAGCCCATTCTGCTTTCTGATAGTCACTGTGGGATGAAGTGTGAGAAGTTCTTTGCACACTGGCTATTGAAAGTGTTTTTAGTGGGCTGCAAGCAAGTCAACACCAACAGTGGCTCCAAAACAACTTAGTTTCAGCAACTTAGATTTTACCAATAGCAATGCTGTTTTCAGAATAAGATAAATGGAATAAGGGAATGTAAAACCTAGTGTATTTTGTGTCGTAAACTTTAAAGGCATTATCTTCAAGTAATTTAACAGCTGTCATGTGGAGTAGTAATCCCAGAGAGCAAAACTAAGATTAGTAGTGATTGGAGTTATAGGGAGGCATATTTTACTTAATCTAAGGAAAAACTTTTTAGACCCTGCTCCATCAAGAAGCAGCCCCTTGAGTACTAGTTACCTACATTTTTGCCATGTTGTGGGATGTCATTTATCTTGGAGCAGAGACTTGAATTCATCTAAAGCAGCACACTGCTCTCCCTTATCTCCTCACTTCTCTTGGGCCTTAATTTCCTCTTATGCACGTTTGTTCTGCTCTTTCTATGTAAGATCATCCTTTTTGATAGGGAAGATTAAATCAAAATAGGGTTCGGTAATTTTCCTTTCTAACTTTCATTAATAAAAATTATGCCTATTGTTCTTGAACTTTGGCACATAATCACATCACCTGGGGAGCTTGTTAAACATACAGATGCCCAGGTTCTACCGCTGAATTAGAAGGTGTGAGGTGGAGCCGGCCCAAATCACTCCCAGCTGTAGGCCCAAGGCAGGCCTATTACTCAAGGCTCACCTTACCCATCCAGAACTCATCCTGATCCAGCCTGAGGCCATCTCAGGAGCCTCGCCCCCGTGATCAGCTGATGTGTGGAGGCAGCTAAGAGCCCGAAGCCTGAGTGCAGCCCCTGGACTCCACCCCTGTGTCCATTCCAGCTGTTGTTTTCTCTCCACACCCTTTCCTGCACGCCTGGTCCTAGACTGGACTTCTGCCCTGTTTCTTTTAGGATGCTGCCAGAGGGAGATTTTAAAAATGCATGTCTGATTATGTCACTCTATACCTAAACATCTTCTAAGGTGACCTATTGCATTTAGGATAAAGATTAAAATGTCTAGCATGGCCCAGCAGGGTCAGCACAGCCTGGCTCCTCCCTGCCTGCTCTCCATTCTCATCTCACAATATTTTGAAACTTTTTCACAATGTTCTAAACACAGGCCTTCTATCAAGTACATAAAAAAATGATATTGCCTTCTTCCCAGGAACTGGACACGGGCCTAAAGCCCTCTTAACCTCCCTTACTCATCTTCTAGACTTATGCTTGTCATTCAGGTCTTGGCTTGATCTTTACTACCTTAGAGAAGCTTTCCCTGATGCTCAATGTGGTTGGAGTTCCCATTTTATGGTACCATGAACATCTCTTTTTCAGCATTTACCATAGTTATATGATTATTTGATTAATGCCTGTCTCTCCTACCCAACTGTAAAACTCCATGGGACCAGGGATTAGGTCATAAAACTCCATAGCACCAGGGATTAGGTCTATTTTTATTCAACATTAATATTCCAAGTGCCTACACAATACCAGAGTAGATACCTGATACATATTTTTTTGAATGAATGAATGAGAGACAATTACTAGAACGATGGATATAATCATCCATGTGACATCAGGTATCACCATGCCTGGGGACCTTCTGTAATACCCCGACTGCCCATATCTGATTTCCTGGATGTTGACATCAGCCTGATTTGAACCTGAATTTACCACACCCAGTTCAATACTATGATTCGAACTAAGGGCCACTCTCCCTTGCCAGCATCACATCTCAGTGGCATTTCAAGTTCTTGTCCCACCCTTTTGTATCTCATTTCTCTCCCTCTTCTAGCTTTGCCGTTGAGATTCAGGATATGCCAAGGCTGAGAGGCCAGGACAGGTATGACATGTGGTATAGCCTCTTTCTTCTTCTATTAGATTTTTTTAAAACAAGAAATGCCTGTCCTTTTCTGTAAGACAGTTATGATCCCTATCTAGCAAAAGTTGGTGATACATAAGAGTGCTTCTCATCACCTTGTCTTAACAATGCAACTTCCTTCTGGTTTTTCTTTTAACATTTTATTACAGGATATGATATCTTAGGCCATACATATCGTTTTTCATTCTCTTCTCTGCTTATTGTCTTCTAAGTTTACTAATTCTCTCTTCTCCCATTGTTTGTGTTGTAATATAACCTATGGTCATGCCTGGTGTACCCTACATAGCCTCCAGTTTTAACCAGTTTGCTGCTTTTTTTTCTCAGATTTCATTTTTAGACTCTGTCACTCGGGTCTGTCTCCTGCTGGATGATTCTGGTAGCCACCAGATCAGTTGGAGAAGGCCCTTGGTGGGGACAAGGGGGGTCCGCACCTTGCTCTTGGGGCTTCTCAGCAGACATGAGCCAGATGCTCTGTGATGGGAGGCGCTGCATTGTCAGCTACCTTTCATAGCCACCCCAAGTCAGCTCTGCATGGCTTCAGTCATTTCTGATGCAGTTACAGTCTCCAGAAAGGACTGAGGGTTGGGAGCTCACTCTTCTGAGTGGTTAGCATCATAGCATTTTGTATCTGGAAAACATCTTAGAGATAACCCACCCATTCCCATGTTACAGGTGAAAACAGTGAGACTCAGAGGCCATAAATTATTCGTCCAAGCCTGCACAGTTAGTGCCAGAGCCTCCAGTCTAGGGCTCTTCCTATGCTTGGAGGAGGCCATTTGTTTGTAAACAGTTTCCTGTTAGTCAAGAGAACCAGAAATGAGTGAAGAAAGCTCATTCTAAAATTCCAGTCTTGCTGACAGGGTTATTAGAAAAGACATAGAATTTAACATTTCATATTTAGTGTAGATTGTTTTGAAATGGGAATCTCTGTATGTATGAATGTGTATATGTATAAGTGTGAGTATGTCTGTATTATGAATGACAGTAATATGACAGAAATAGTTTAAGATAGGAAATGGCAAATCTGCTCCTCTGTGTTAGGATGATTGACCCTGGTAGCAATTAAGAGGCATAGTTCTAAGCCAGTAGACTCTGTATATCATTTTTGACACCCCAGTTTTCTCAAGAAATATTTGAGGTTTACACAGCCTGATTTGAGTACTGTTTAGGGGGAAAATGGGTGGAGAATAAGGGGTGGGATTGTGGGGATCTTTGATTATACCTTGTTGCCCCAATACGGCAGGTACTCCCTGCAGACAGCTTTGGCAGAATCACTGGCTGCCATGGTGTCCTGTTACACAGAAGCCTGCTGGCCGCAGGAACAGGAAATAGCCTTTTGTATGCGGGTTCAGGCTTTGCTCCCATTGACTTGTTTCCTCCCGTCTGCATCAAGTTCAGCACCCTGTCCCTGGTGTGCCTTGTTGTGAGCAATTCCTAGGAAAGCAGATCCTCCTTCACACCCACACATGTTTAACCAAAGTGTTTACAAAAGGAGCCTTGCTAATAGCAGCTGCCTTGTTTCCAGCATACCTTTGGGCTTTCAGAAAGCTCTCTGCCTGCTCTGCTGCCCCCACTCAAACTTACTCATTCAGAAGAGAATTGGATATGTTTTCCCGGAGTCAGTTCATTTTCCTGGGATGCCTTTTTTTTTTTTTTTTCTTTTCTGCCTTCCTCCCTTCTCAATATAACTCCAAGTGTTTAGGGTTCAATTATGCAGATGCGAAATTTGGCTTTTTAGTCATTTGAAAGTATGGAGACTCCTAGAGCTCATGACTCTTCTATATCACTGTAGGAAGTGCATAGCCACCCCCTTTTTGTTCCCCATACCAGTGATTGTACTTCAGAAGCTGTGGTCCTGCTCAAAAAAGACTGTTTGCTTTCCTCATCTCCACAGGTTTACATAAAGGGTTGTCTCCATTTTTGCCTGATGAAAGGCAACTTGAGACAGAGGAACCACCCCTCTCCCAACTAGCATTTTTGAGCACCCCCTGGGTACGGTTTTGCCTTCTGTGCTTTTATGTTTTGTGGTTTATAGGATGGAAAGCAGATGCAACCACTCTCCAAGAAGTCTAAGCTGAAGGAACACCACCCTAGAAGGAGAACTTATAAAATCGATTCTGACATTGGTGCTCCATGGTTCCTTTCCATCTTTAGAGCGTTTTTAAAAACACAATTCCATGCTTGTGACAGACTTTGCCTCGGTTGAAACACATGCTGAAGGGATTCCTTATGACAGATGACTGGTTCCTTTTTACGGCTTTCAGTGGCTTCTACCTTAGACAGAAAAAGAGAAATTAACCTGAACTCTTAATAGCTAGATTTGGTCTACTCTCACGGAGGAAACCATGATTGCTTCTGAAAATGTGTTGTTGCAGATCTGAGGGGTCCAATAAATAGCCTTCCCTTTATTCCTGGTGGTGGTTCTTAGTGTGCTTTCTCGGCCCTGGGGACCCCTTTCTTCCTGGGTTCATCCTCAGGGCCCGCAGGAGCAGCCCTGGTCCTCTGCTTTGTTCTCTTCTCTCGCATGTAGTCATTTTGATCAATCACATCCTGTCTGTGAGTACAGCAGACCCATCAGATAGGAAAGACCTGATTTTCTCTCTCAAGTTTATGTTACAGGTCAGATTTGATTACCACTTCCCTCTAAGACCCCCTATTTTAGGTGGCAGGAGAGAAGTTGGTGGAGAAATAAGAGTGGAGTCATCTTTAGTGATACGTAGTGCCTCAGATTTCCCAAGCACTCAAGAGTGAGTGCATAAAAACCCAACACCAGAGGGTTGTTCATATATCATATCCATATAAAAACATGTCAATTTGTTGAATTTCTCTAATATAGTAATTAAAATAATATTGATACTGTTTCTGAAGATTGCCATATAAAAAGAATGAATTATAGTTTTTAAAAAAACATAAAAATATTTAAAGTTCAACAACAGTTTTGTTGTTGTTGTTGTTGAGACAAAGTCTCGCTCTGTCGCCCAGGCTGGAGTACAGTGGCGTGACTCAGTGCCTCCCAGGCTCAAATGATCCTCCCTCCTCAGCCTCTAGAGTAGCTGGGACCACAGGCATGTTTCACTGCACCCGGATAATTTTTGTATTTTTTTGTAGAGGTGGGGTTTCACCGTCTCTACAAAAGCCTGTTACCCAGGCTGGTCTCCAACTCCTGGGCTCAAGTGATCCACCCAACTTGGCCTTCCAAAGTACTGAGATTCCAGGCCTGAGCCACCGTGCCTGGCAACAGTTTTCTTTCCTTTTTTTTTTTTTGGAAACTTTCTGTGACATAGCATTGATTTAGCCCCCGAAAACTTGTAGGTAGTTCATGGCTTTGAGGTGACACTCTGGCTGACCTATAACTGCAGTCAGCCAGGGTGTCACCTTAAGGCCATGATTAAAAGTCAAGGATATTTGTGTTTATGCTGGAGTGTTAGGACATGGTTCTTCCCTCCATGTTTCTGTAGATTTGAAAAGACACACCATCCAATATAACTCTGGGTGAGGCAGGGTGACGGATGGATTATCCTTGCTCTGTGGGACCTGAGGCTGAGATAAAGACAGTTTCTTGTTTGTCGTTAATTAGTAGGTTTGTCTCAGAGCTAGGCCTTGTATCTTTCCTATTAGTAACTTTAGGATTGACTGATGATGCCTGAAAAACATCTATCACCTGTTCTGACTCATCCAATTTGAGAGTAAATCTCAGAAGTCTCAGGTTTCTTCAGGAAGTTGAGTTCAGAAATTGTTTATGAGATCAGGTTAAGGTGACTTTCCTCTACTATAAGCACTAATAATTGTCCATAAAAAGCAAATATGTTGTAATCATGTATTTATGACAGGATTATATTTTCTTGGTGATTGCGCATTTAGGAAGTGAAGACATTTTACAGCCATTTTTTTCCCCACTAAAAGATTGAAAAGGTTAAAGTGTACAGTATTTGAAAATACACTTAAAAAATTAGGATTTCTCTGGGAAGAAACCAAAACTTAAGAAAGAACATGATTAAGGTTAAGCCATTGTAAAAGGATATCAACGTGACTAACACGGACATATATGCTCCAAATTGTGAACTACACGGTACAGGAAGCTCTCCTAAAAATTGTACTCTGCCAGAAAAAGAGGTCAAGGGCTAGAAACAAATATAAAATGAAGGTTCAGTAAGATAGAGTCTTTAACTGTGGGAAACATTTATCAGGTTCTTTCCATATGCTAAACTCTATATTATATTATCTCATTTAATCATCAGACAACTTTATGAAGGAGATATTCTTATTTACTCCCATTTTATAGATGAGGAAACTTTAATCTTAGATACGTAATTTGTCCAATCACACAGTCTGGAAATGGTGGAGCTTGGATTGGTAATCACTCATTCACAAGGTATTAGAGAAGGCATGGGGGTGTTTGGAGACCATGGCTTTTGTTTAAAAGGTTGCTATCCTCTTTAAAATTGTTTTTTATGCTAGATCTAGTGAACCCCATAACCCCATATGGCAGTTCTTATATTTCCTTTTTTTTTTTTTTTTTTTTTTTTTGAGATGCAGTTTTGCTCTTGTTGCCCGGGCTGGAGTGCAATGGCGTGATCTCGGCTCACCGCAACCTCCGCCTCTTGGGTTCAAGAGATTCTCCTGCCTCAGCCTCCTGAGTAGCTGGGATTACAGGCATGTGCCACCACGCCCAGCTAATTTTGTGTTTTTAGTAGAGACAGGCTTTCTCCATGTTGGTCAGGCTGGTCTTGAGCTCCCAGCCTCAGGTGATCTGCCTGCCTTGGCCTTCCAAAGTGGTGGGATTACAGGTGTGAGCCACTGCTCCCGGCCTATTTTATTTTTCTTTAGTAACTCTTTCTTTAAGTCATTCTCATAGACTCTTAGGACAGTGACCTTGAAAGAGACTGGCTTGACTCTAGCCTATCCTCTGAGAGACAAAAAGACAAAGATAGATCTTCTGACTTGTTTAGGGATCTTGAGAACTTACTTTTCCTAATCTTGGATATTTGGAAAGGCCTCCACTAAAAGCAAAACTATCCTTTAACAGACTTTTCTAGTATATATTCTGGCAGTCAGGATGTAAAACCTAAAACCTCACGATATAAACCTCTTTGGTAGCTTAAAGAGAAATTAGAGAATTACTAATTATGACTTAATTTTAATATTTTATTATTCACTCAAGCCACCCTGAAAGGTTCATTCAATAGTTGTTTATTGAGTACTATGTGCAAGGCATTATACTTAGTTATGCTGAATCTGATCTTGGAAGTCTTTAAGAATAACAACATGAGACAAACCCAGCTACCCTAGATAGCATAGAGTCATATTTTAATATTTATTTTTAATAATGATGATTTTCCATTTACCATATATTATTTAATCTTCAGTCTGAGGATTCAACTCTTTGAGATAGTATTATCATCTCCATTTTGCAGATGAGGAAATTAAAGCTCAGTAACATTGAGAAACACAGCCCAGGTCACAAGGCTCAGGCAGGGCCTTCACCATGTGAGCTCCTAAAGAGAGTCAAAATAGTTTTTCTGTAGTACTTTATAGTTATCAAAATGCTTTTACTTGCATTATCTCATTTTCCAAAAATGAGAGTATTTATTATTGTATTCATTATATAGATAGCTCTTGTATTTATTATATACTTAATATGTGCTAAGAGTGCCAGGTACCATATTAGACATGGCCTAGTTCATGTAATCCTCACAAAAACCCTAATAAGTATCATTATTCCCATTTTATAGATGAGCCACCAAGGCCTAAAAGTTTAAGTGATATGCTCAGCACAGCAGGGAGGTTTAACTGAAGCCTAGGTTTGTCTGCACAGCCAGGATGTGTGACCACTTTACTATATTCACTTTTCTGTATTATGCTGCCTCATTTTCCAGATGAGGAAACTGAGATTCAGAGTTAGCTAACCCAGATGAGGTCATACAGCTTATCAATAGCGGAGCTGGCACGCCAACTCAGATCCTCTCACTAGAAAGCCCACTTGTTTCCCACTGTACTGAGCCGCCTTTCTGCACAAGGAGAACTGTATCTTACATCCAGGTTGAGTACCCTAATTCCTTTTCGTCATTTTTTACATTTCTTTGTATTTGTTCTTGTTTTTAGGCAGGGGGCCCTAGACGGATGACTTGTTGCAGGAGAGGAATGGTATAGGTTAAACTGCTTGCTCAGGAAGTCATCTGGGGAAGTTAGATGAGAACTCAAATCCAAATTTGAGTCCTGTGTACCCAACTTATTTAGCTATGTGGTTCTCAACCTCTTTGTCTTTTGAAAATGTTGCTTGAGAGAAGGACTTGCCCTTGCGAGACTGCTTTCCTGTGCTGTAAGGAATGAATCTTTTTCCATCTGAAGATCATTTACCGTTTCTCTGAATACTGAATTACATTAATGGTGTAAGGCAAGGAAGTATGTCAATATCAGATATATAACAAGGACCAGTCACTCAGATTTGAAATGTTGCCAATCTCTACAATCTCGGCCTTGAGAATTTTAAGGCACAGAAGCCCGTTACTTTAATGATCAATTATCCTTTAGATTTCTGAAGGAAAAGTTTGTTAACCACTTATAGTACTGCTTTTTTATTCAAATTGCAAACTCAGGTAAATGTTCTTTAAAATTGAATTGGATGACATTTTTCTGTATATGTCAATGTCAGTAAACATCCGATAAATATCCAGGTGTGTTTAATTATTTTGACTCAAGGAAGTATGTCCTATTTAAACAATCTTTAAATAAATTGTTTCTGAATTGAACAAATAAACAAGAAATAGCTGAACTAAACTGCTGTGACTGTATAGAAAAACTGAGAGGTTTTAACGGAGGAATGATCTAAAAATCCGCATCTTATTATACTCATTTTTACTTTTAGAGATAAACCTGAATTAACTGTTCAAGTATATTAATAGTTTTTATTTTCAAAGAATAATAGGTGATGTGTAGGGATAATTTGAAACCTATTCCAAGTGTATTAACTCCAGTTCAGATATGTTTGAAACATGGAACTTACCCTATGTCACCCAGAGTTTTTTTTTTAATATATATATGTATATAAAATAATTAATGCCTATTAAGTCTATTTTGTGCTAGTTTTCTCTTAATCGTTTTCTCCTGTAATTTTCATATCCTTATGATTCAGGTATTATTGCTGCCCCTCCTTCCTCACCTTTTACAGATGAGGAAACTGAGGCTCAGAGTGACTGAGTAATTAAGCCAAGGTTACACAGAAAGAAGAAGTCTCAGAACTTGGACCTAATTCTGAACATTCCAAAGTCCGTGCATATTCTAAGATACCAAGCTATCTTGTGAACAGCCTGGTCTATTAGAATTTTAAAAATTAACATAATTTAAAAATTAGCATAAAAACGTGTTAAGAGAAATTTGGTTATGATTTTGTTTGATTAGCCCTCAAGTAAGAGCAAAAGAGTTTGAAATACATACTTTTTTTGCTTTGGAAACATACAGCACATTTACCTTTTTTTCTGTATATAAGCAGAAGGTCTTTTAATAAATCTATGTGGCCTTGAGTTTGTACCTCCAAGAAACTCCTAGAGATACATCAAAAAATATTGTTAATGTTCAGCAATTAAACCTAAACAGCTGACTGCCCATTAGTTTTATTATTACAATGACTGTAGGTAACACTAGGCCAAATTCCAGACATGTGACTTCTTCTAAACAGATTCCAGTAGGATTAAAAACATTTCCCCGTTCTCCTGTTTTGGGGCATTTTCTTACTGTCAGAAACTATGGTGCTTAACATTGAAACTGGCTGGTGATGAAACTTTTCAGTTCTTAATGGTAGTTGACTTTGAAATTAAATTTTTGTCTTTTTCTTCCGGGTTATTTTCTGTTTTAGCTTTAGCATGAGAGTAACGTAACTGGCTTCCCTCCTTCCTGTTCATCTTACGTGCTGCCCCTCCATTCTCATTCCTGCCCTTATTCCCTTCACCCCATGCTAGAAAGGGCCATTCCATTGACCTGCCTGAAAAGAAAGTGCCCTGAGATGAAATCATGGAATCATGCACTTTAAAACCAAAAAGCATGTCTGAAAGATAGTAAGTAGCTGGATATGCAGCAGCGAAAGGCACAGTCTACATAGTCTTTAACCAAGTTAATTGTTCAGAAAATATTCTAACTTAGAAAAAGTTATCCATGTTCACTGGAGGAATTTTAGAGATACAGAAAATAAATATAATTCCACTTTGTAAAGATAACCAAAGCAGATTGTTTTCTAAATGACTATTAGACTTTCGAAATTGAAATATTTGGAAGAGAGAGACAAATAGTCTTTATGCATCATCCATTTTGTTGCTTTCATTGAGACTCAAAGTCTAGAACGCTTTGTGCTATTTAAGGCCTGAAAGGATGGGGTTATAAGAGATAAATAGCCATTCCTTATATATTATATATATATAAGCCATTTTTTTTTCTCTCCCTGTTTTTCTGCTTTTTCCTTTCTGAGTTTTGGGTTGCATGTTTCTAAGGCTGCAATGGTTGCTATACTAAAGATTTTTCTTTTTCTTTTTCCCAGACCCCAGGCAGGCACAGTCTTCCCCGCCGTGGTCCTATGACCAGTCTTACCCCTCCTACCTGAGCCAGATGACGTCCCCGTCCATCCACTCTACCACCCCGCTGTCTTCCACACGGGGCACTGGGCTTCCTGCCATCACCGATGTGCCTAGGCGCATTTCAGGTAAAGACCGTGCTTTAACTAAAAATCCATCCCTGCACAGGGGTCGGGGGGAGTGGGATGGGCTGAGCCTGTCTCATCCATGCTCACAGTGACTCTCTATTAGAGGCATGTGGGCAAGGGAATGACAACTGGCAAATTAAATCTTCTGAATTATGGGGTTATCAAACACTGGAACATTTTAAGTCAAGAGACTGAAAATCCGCTAGAGATGGCATACTTTTAACATGGTATTTAATGCCGCCCAGTTAGTGTCCTGCTGAATTGTATCCCATTTGGTGGGCACTGTCTCATAACTAGGGCCTTTTCCTGAGGGTATTATGCCAGGATTTCCTCTGCTTGTGTTCCTTTCTTTTCGTAACATCTGCCTATAAACAAGATTGATGGCACAGCCCTCCATTCCTAAAGGCTTATAAGTCCCAGGAGTCCAAGCTAGTCAGTTCCAAGAGAGAGCACCTGCAAACTTAGGATCTTTGTCAGAAACTAGTCATTTGAAGTGCTGTGAGGCCTGGAAGAATCTTAAAAGACAATGCGTGGCCTCTGAGTGGCTAACTCAAGAAGGAGGCAGACTTTCTGTGAAACATAATGCATGCTGCTGTCACTTGCAGCCCGGCAGCCCAGTGCTCACAATTCCTCTGTTCCAAAGGCACCACAGAAATGTGTGGCCCATGGGGAGAGTGTGTGTGACAGATGACCTGGCTGCCCCTCTATCCTGGAGAATTCATCACAGAGAGCCAGAAAGTGTTCACAAAAACTCCAAACTGACAAGTAGAGAAAAGTTAAAGGCCCTTAGCTGACTATATGAGTCCCATGAATAAGAAAAGAAACCTCTTGGTCCACCCTGACATATGAACTGCAAACATTGTCCCCACTCAATGACGTACGTCCACAGAGGCACACACCCCATTGGATCCCACGTTTGCCAGATACTCTTCTCAGCGTTCGGGCCCCTGCACCTGTTTGACTCCTGGCCAGGTTAATGCCTTTCTTTCTTTCTCTTTGTGTTTCTGTCTCTGTTTCTCTCCCTCTCTCATTTTCTGCAAAGCTCGAAGCCGTTACTCACTCCGCTGAGTTGCATCACTGACAAGCTGAAGCTCCACCAGCAGGCTTGCGGGTTTTGATTAGTTCAGACTCCTTTATTTCTTTCAACTTGGGAGGAGGGAAGGCTTTGTTTCTCAAGCAAATAGCAGGAAAGGGCTCTCTGGTCCTAGTGCCTCACATTTTCTGCAGCAGATGGACTCCCATGGGGGTGAGTAGGGAAAGAAGAGGGGTGGAGGGAGAATTGCAAGGTTTTTTGGAAAACCATGTTACCACTTTTCATTATGACTCCTGTTATCATTTTTACGAATCACATAGTATGTATTGGGGAATTGTATAGAGTATAGAATTTTAGTTATCATTTCCCTTGCCTGGGATCACCGTCGCCTTCAGGCAAACATTAATTAAAGGTACGGGAAAGGATGAGTAAGGCACAGTGGGGATAACGAAGGCTGATGCGGGATTAAAAGCATAATGTTGATGGTGTTGAGTTAGTTCTGGTTATTCCTTCTGCATTTCATACTGAGAGGCTGTTTTGTTTTACATAGGGCCGAAAGGACACTTTGACAGAATAGACTTATGCAAACTTGCTTCTGTTTGGGGTCCCCTGGGGCTTCCATCTGCCCAACCCACTGTGGCTGAAGCAGATTTTGCTGTTTTTTTCTCTAGCAGTACCTACAAGAAAAAAACCTCAGGGAGTGATGGTAGCATTAGAGACACTTAACTACAGCAGTTTCCTACTGAGGTATATTCCTGTGAGTTCACCAGGAAAGCCATTGAAAATAACATTGGAAAAATGCTGCATAAATGAGTAGTCGTCATTGTTTATCATGTACATGTGTAACGGAAAACAGCCAGATTATTTCAAGTTACTTTACTGAGGGTTACTTAAAACATTTCCACAAAACAGTACCTTTCCCATTTCACAGGTAGGGAGGCAGGAGCAGAAACTGGTTAATTTTCCAGCCATGTATCTATCTTAGGCCACAGGTAGGAGTGAGCCTCTGGTTTAAACTGGTTTATACTGAGTTTAGTCCAGTTTTTTCCTCCAACCCTTAACATTTCTGGAGTTGTCACTGGTAAAGTAACATGGTGCCAGGGTG